>NC_000001.11:234820485-234972000 GCF_000001405.40 Homo sapiens | reverse complement strand
GTTCTCTTCCAAACTGATCCAGCAGCTCTACCCCCATCCACCCCTGAGAAAGTTTCAGCTCCTTTTTGCTTTGTTTTCTAAACCAATTCATTCCTGTAATTCATTCACTTGCTCATTTGTTCATCCGCCCAATCCTTATTACACTGGTGTGAAAGTAATCGCGGTTCTCACCATTACCTTTAGTGGCAAAAACCGCAATTACTTTTGCACAACCTAATAAATATCTACTGTGTGCTGTGCTCTTATGTTATCTGCTTATGATGCTGCTATGCACCTATCCCTCCCCCAATACACACACACACACAAGCACACACAGACACAGAGGTTCTTTTTCAGGTTCCAGGTCTCATTTCTGAGTAGATTCATGTGACCTTGCTCCATTTTCTCGTGCATGTATTTTTTCCATGGCAGATATGCTTTTCATATGAACCTGGTGTCTGCAGCATTTAGAGGCTTTGGTTTACAAAGTACTCCCTGTTCTAAGGTTCTCTGATGCCCTTGCTGTCTAGATCAGGGAAGGGATGAGGGGGAAGCCAGTACACCCCACATGGAGAAAACCAGGCCTATGTGTACTCTGGGCCCCGCTCCTTTCTCTGCCTGCCTGAAACCACACTTGCAGTCAGCACGTCAGAACCCGCGAGGTCAGGATAGATTCCTGCTTTTAAAGAGCTGCCTGGGCAAAGAATGTGAGAGTCACATTACTCTAGAGACCAAATGGCAATTCACAGCCACAAAGGGAGTGGCCCACTCCACCAATCCTCACCCTGTGACTGTCGGGCCAGACCCCTAGGGTGTCCACGGCTGCCCCTGTTGAAACAGTGGGGCTGACAAAAGCAATTTGAAGGGGAAACAAAAGTACTGCAGGGTCAGGTTACAAATGTTTGCCTAGACTTGGAATCCTTATTCTAGAAAGTTCTATGCTAACCCATGGGGGCAGCTGTTGCTGCCTTTGATGAGTAGAGAAAAACAACTCTAGCTGAAGGGGGGTGAGGGGGAGCAGAGCCAACAGAAATCCTGGCTCAGCAGTCCGGGATGGGTCCCACAAATACAGTAGCCAGGGAGCAGGGCGCATGCTCTCCAGGATCCGATTTCAGGCCAGCTGGAGCAAGAATGTGTTCTTCGCCACAGGAAGAATGTTCCCTCAGACAGAGCTGCTAACCGGGCAGGATGGAGGGAAGACCATACCGCCAGTGGTGGTGACTGCACTTCCCAGCAGCCTTTCCCCCTTCCTTTCCTGGGTAGCATGTATTTTTGTGTTGCCAATTTACCCACCTCCCACAATACTCTTCATTTTTTAAAATGTGGGAATTTTTCTGAGCCTGTGAGCTATGTTGCAAAACTATGAGCACATTTCCACAGTTACCCTATGTCATCTGTCTCTTTGACATAAAGAGGGAAGGAGGAGGGTGGAGAGGGAAAAGGAGGGAGAGAGGGAAAGAAGCAGAAACGCGAGAGAAACATTTTGCTGACGTCAAAGAAGACCACACTCTACAGGATAGCATTACTTGTACCTCAACCACCCACTCTCTCTAATTTACTAGAAACCAAACGGACTGTTTAGAAGCCCTCAGCCTGGCAGTCTGGGTTGGGTTTTTCTGGGGGGTGGGTTGGGGCGGGGGTTGTTTTATTTTTTTGCTATTCTCCTTTGACCAAAAGGGCCATTAATTGTTGGGAGTTTGAAAGCTACCTGATTCCATGAAACAGAGGGGATTTCCATGAGTAATAATTCAGACCGTGCTTGTGTAGGGCGCTGTGGCTCGAGTAAATTGATCCAGCTGCTTGCAAAGCTCATGGAAAACGGCCCCGGGGAGAGGACGGCGGCGTCTGCAGCTGGGGCAGCTGCGGCCGCTGCTGGCGCTGTCACGTGGTCCCGCCGGCGTCCGCCCCCTGCGTCCCATTCCCAGCTCCAGGCGCCCCCCATCCCCCGCTGCCCGAACCCCCGGTTCCTCGAGAGGTCGTCGCCTTGCAGCCCTGGCTGATTTCGAAGGCTAAAGGCGATTCTTCAACACAAGTAGCAACCTCTTTTTGGGAAATACAGGATTCTGAGTCTGGTTGAGGGTGGCCCTAAGCTCCCTCTCGAATGTTACCCTTTGGTGCGCTGGCGTGTTTGTGCTTCCAGAAGCATCCCGCGGTTCTGTTGTCCGGACACACCAGGACCTATTTGCCAATAAAATCAAATCTGGCAACAGTCACCTGTAACCCGAGGCTACAGAAATACCGATTCCACTACCCAGATGGTAGAGTTCAGTGTGTTTGCTGGCTAAGGCCGCACAAGTTAATTTTTATCCTAGTAAAAAATAATAAACACTGCATTAGCAACTAAATGTTTATCAATTTGCAGTTCATTTCCAGCCAGATCATTTCGCTCCTGCATGTTTTTACTGCTAGCTGATGCACTGGAGTGCTTTTCCCCAAACCATATGTGGCTATTTAAGTCTTAGCCTCTGTAGCATTTATATGGTGCTTTTCACTTTAATTGGATAATATTATTTGGCTACTTCAGCCATGGTCTTCAAACATCGCGTTTTAGTGATAAAGAAACTGCAGTAAAGAAAGATTAAATGAGTTGCTGGGGAATCATCCTGCAGTTCAGGGGTGAGGCTAAACAAGGAGCCACAAGTTTATATGTAGCACAGACCTGTGTGGGCTGGACCACGTGGCTGAGCAGGGCTGAATTTGTTGTGTTTCTTTTCCTCATCTTATGGGAAGATAATATTAGAGGAAGTGGCAGAGAACAACTATCTAATGGAGTTAGCAACCCTGAATGGGAAAAAGACGCATGGGTGAACATAAGCAATGGTAGCATGTTGAGAGCCTGATGGAAACTCAAGTGCCTTCAGCTGCCCTACAGCTAAGCCCTCTGCAAATGCTTTGGCTATTTTTGTTATCTTAGCGGCATTAGAGCCACCATTGGGTAGTGTCATCCATTGTTTATTACTAGACTGTCATAGCCAGAAACAGTGATTTGGCTAAGACAAAATGAAGCGATGGCTGTCCTGGGATGGTGCAGATGGTAAGCCCTCCCCGTCTCCCAGTATGAGTAGAAACCTTTATATTGCCCCTTGGTTTAGGGCAGATCTAAAGCTGCTACTTTGGGGAAGACGAGAGTAAAAAAGAGTCTTCAGGGCAGAAGGCAGAATAAGTCAGATCTACGTTCCACCTTTATTATCTCTGTGGGAAATAACTCACTTTCTTGAAGTCTTAAGTTTTTCTCCCCTGAAAAAGTGAGGGGATAGTAGGATGTCCCTCACAGGGCAGGTGTGCACTTCAGGGACGTATATACTCAGGGCCTGGCATGGTGCCTGGCATCTGGTAGACACTGAAGAAGTACTGTTTCCAGGAAGAGTAGGCTTGGCGGAGGCAGGTAGGTGATGGGTTGAAGATACCATGTATGTAAGCCCAAATATGAGGCAATGCCCTATTTCCCAATTGGTAGGTTACACACATTTTGTGTCCTTTGTTGTTTTTTTTTTTGCCATCTTGAATGTATACTTTTTTTTTGTTTTTCAGATGGCGTCTTGCTCTGTCACCCAGGCTGGAGTGCAGTGGTGCGATCTCGGCTCACTGCAACCTCTGCCCTTCTGGTTCAAGCAATTCTCCCTGCCTCAGCCTGGTGAGTAGCTGGGATTACACCATGCCTGGCTAATTTTTTTTTTTTTGAAACGGAGTCTCGCTCTGTCGCCCAGACTGGAGTGCAATGGCGCGATCTCGGTTCACTGCAAGCTCCGCCTCCTGGGTTCACGCCATTCTCCTGCCTCAGCCTCCCAAGTAGCTGGGACTACAGGCAGCTGCCACCACTCCCGCCTAGTTTTTTGTATTTTTAGTAGAGACGGGGTCTCACTGTGTTAGCCAGGATGGTCTCGATCTCCTGACCTCGTGATCCGCCCACCTCGGCCTCCCAAAGTGCTGGGATTACAGGCGTGAGCCACCGTGCCCTGCCATGCCTGGCTAATTTTTGTAGTTTTTAGTTGAGACAGGGTTTCACTATGTTGGCCAGGGTGGTCTTGAACTCTTGACCTCAGGTGATCTGCCTGCCTCGGCCTCCCAAAGTGCTGGGATTACAGGTGTGAGCCACCGCGCCCGGCTTGATTTTTTTTTTTTTTTTTGAGATGGAGTCTTGCTCTGTCACCCAGGCTGGAGTGTGGTGGCATGATCTCGGCTCAGTGCAATCTCTGCCTCCCAGGTTCAAGAGATTCTCCTGCCTCAGCCTCCCGAGTAGCTGGAATTACAGGCATGTGGCACCATGCCTGGCTAATTTCTGTATTTTTAGTAGAGACGAGGTTTCACATGTTGGCCAGGCTGGTCTTGAACTCCTGACCTCGTGATCCACCTGCCTCAGCCTCCCAAAGTGCTGGGATTACAGACATGAACCACCATGCCTGGTGGCTTGAATATATACTTTTAATGATGTAAGTGAAATAGTCATATTTCTAGTTAAGAATTTAATTTATTGACTTGGTTACTTGTTTGTTTGTTTATTTATTTATTCGTTTGAGACAGAATCTTGCTCTGTCACCGAAGCTGGAGTGCAGTGGTGCGATCTTGGCTCGTTGCAACCTCCATTTCCAGGTTCAAACGATTCTCCTGCCTCAGCCTCCGGAGTAGCTGGGACTACAGGCACGTGCCACCCCGCCTGACTAATTTTTGTATTGTTAGTAGAGACAGGTCACCATGTTGGCCAGGCTGGTCTGGAACTCTTGACCTCAAGTGATTCGCCTGCCTGGACCTCCCAAAGCGCTAGGATTACAGGCGTGAGACACCGCGGCTGGCCAGTTATATTTAGAATCACATGCATAAATATACTTATTTAGGAATCTTGCTTTTTTGTTACTCATTATTCAGACTATTTATCAACAGTCTTTGTCATCACTTGTGCCCCCCATCTTTTTTTTTTTGAGATGGACTCTCGCTCTGTCACCCAGGCTGGAGTGCAGTGGCACAACCTCGGTTCACTACAACCTCTGCCTCCCAGGTTCGAGTGATTCTCCTGCCTCAGCCTCCCAAGTAGCTGGGATTATGGGCGTGTGCCGCCACACCCGGCTTATTTTTGTATTTTTAGTGGAGACGGGGTTTCACCATGTTGGCCAGGCTGGGTCTTGAGCTCCTGATCTCAGGCAATCTGCCTGCCACGGTCTCCCAAAGTGTTGGGATTACAGGCATGAGCCACCATGCTCAGCCTTGTGTCCCTTTTTGAATGATCTGACTCAATCTTCCAGAATACTTCATCTTGCTTCTGTCCAACTGCCTTTGAGATTTCGGACTTTTTGAGTCTGTATGCTATGCTCACTGGAAATGTTATCTCAAGCCTTCATAGCCATGTGCTATTTGCCATCTCCACAAAGCTGACTTCTTGTATTGCTTTTAAAAGGGATCTTCATGGGGCTATGTAAGGAAATATTCATGCATTTTAGAGGTGCATACTAAAGTAGGAAGGAGTGAAATGGCATGAGGCCTGCGATGCTCTTTAAAAGATTTCAGCAAAGAGAAAAAAAGTAAAACACAATAAATGAAGCAAACATCAAAAAATCGAGTAATTGTTAATCGAGTGACAGTTATATGGAGAGTCACTGTGCTATATGCTCCTTTTGTCATAATAAAATTTTAAAATATAAAATAAACATTGTCATAATAAAAGTTTAAAATGGGCTGGGCCTCGTGGCTCACGCCTGTAATCCCAGCACTTTAGGAGGCTGAGGCAGGTGGATCACTTGAGGTCAGCAGTTCTAGACCATCCTGGCCAACATGGTGAAACCCTGTCTCTACTGAAAATACAAACATTAGACAGGCATGGTGGTGGGCACCTGTAATCCCAGCTACTCGGGAGGCTGAGGCACGAGAATTGCTTGAACTTTGGAGATGATGGAGGTTGCAGTGTGCTGAGATTGTGCCACTGTAGTCCAGCCTAGATGACAGAGCAAGACCCTGTCCCAAAAAAGAAAAAAAAAGTTTAAAATGAGCTTTAAAAGACTGGCTTACAGGCTGGGTGTAGTGGCTCACACCTATAATCCCAGCACTTTGCGAGGCTGAGGTGGGCAGATTGCTTGAGTACAGGAGTTTGAGACCAGCCTGGGCAACATGGTGAGACCTTGTCTCTTAAAAAAAAAAAAAAAAGAAAAGAAAAGGACTTGCTTACAATATCTCTCATGCTTGTAATTGGAGGTCATACCTTCAAGAATAACTACAAAAGCTTTTATTTTTCTTTGTATTAAAAAACCAAATCAACAAAAACTATTCTTCCAGACAACCTCTATAAACGTTCCAAACTAAAATTCATGAGATTCCCTTCAGAGTATTTTGTTGTTCCAAATAAAGAAATTCTGTAATATAAAGAGCTTTTTAAGACACAGATATAAGGTGATGCCTTATACTTGCCTATCCATCCTATTTTTCTCTATGCTTTGCTGGTCTGAGTAGACAGGGTTGGTAATGACCCCAAATGGAACACTTCTCTAAGTGATGGGAAGATCTCATGCAGTGTCCTTCATCAGAAGTACCCATTACCTAGTGCCCTTGTTGGCACTGGAGCTGGAAGGCTCAGGATAGCAGGGAACAGGCAGCCCACAGTCCTGGAAGCAGGCCTGGTGGCACAGGCCTGGGTATGGAGTGTCAGTGGTGGCAGAAGAGGGGAGTCACTGTTTTCTTCATTAGTTAATGCCTCTCCCCTGGAGGGAGGGCAAGAGCTATGGTCTACACAGCCAAAGTGAGAGGGTGGTTGAGCAATTCTCCAGCAAACTCAGGCAAAATCAGGCAAGCATATTTAGGCCTAGAAGTCCTGGTTACCACAGCCTAAAGTGATAGGGACAGAAAGTGAAAGGAACAGAAAACCAGTCTGTATTTGTTTTATGTGAATTTTGGAGCAATGGCTTTTCCAAAGGAGGAAAGAAGAAGTTATTCTTTTTAAAACACAGTTGAAGAAGAGGATGCTTTTCCTATGGACATAGTAGGCCATTTACCAACGAGTTATTAAGATAAAAAATACCTACTGGGCCTGTGTAGGAAGCCTGGAATTCTCTTACTTTATTGTATTTTCCTCTAAGGATATATTGCGTTATTCCACAACAGGCTGGTCATAATCTTTGAGAGATTTACTTCTGAGACTTTTTGGTGTGGCTTCATTCACACTTCACATTTCCTAAGAGAGACAATTTTGGCTACTTTGAAAGAACCCTCCCTCAAACATAAACATCACAGCATCCTGACTTTAGAGTGTCTGTCTCAACATTTCAATGTTAGAAGGTTTATTGGAATGCAGACAAATAAAATAAGATAAATAAAATCTCAGTGTGCTTAAACTGAGAGCAGGTTCTTTTTTGGAAGATGTGCGTGTGTGTGTGTGTGTGTGTGTTGATGAGCTAAGTGTTGATTATAACCCAAAAAGACGGAAAGTGTGAGATTAGATAAGTGTCTGCTAGATCCATTATTGCTGTGTGCATTCTGTGAAATGGGCTTAGAGTTCACTGGTTGTAGCTGCAGGATAAAGTTCACTTGTTGTTTATTCTCAGTCTGATTAGGCCACCATTGAAAACAGAATGTGAACTACTGTCCAGAAGCCCTCTGTGAACTTCAGGTCTGCCTTAGGAGGGACGCTTCCAGCGAGGGAGCGCGTGATGAAGTCTGCAGGCATTGCTGGGGCAACGCTAAGTGGCCGCTGGCCAGGGTAGAAGTTAAACCAGGAGATGGCTGTCAAATGCAGTTGTTAGGTGTGGCACATCTTTCTCAAGCTGCTGAGCTGAGCAGGAAAGAGAGACGTTTGTTTATGGATTTATCTCATCTATAAGACACTCTTATTAGATGAACTCTATATCAGTTCTATGTAGAACTCTGTACCAGTTCTATAAGGCACTCTTTAATCTGAATCTTTTTATTTGCTCAAGAGAAAAATAAGTCTGACTTGCATCCCATTGAAGATTTAGATTGCACTGTTTACATCTTTCACCTGCGCCGCGGTAGCGTCCTCTACCGATGCTATCCTACGTTGATTTTTCCAGCAACCTGGGAAGCAACCTCATAGGTGGTTTGGGATGTCTTTTGGCTGTGCTTAAAAATTTCCAACAGATTTGCTACACATCTTAGGATAAATATGTTTCCTGTGAATTGTGATGATTTCTTACAGTACATTTGCAAGCATGTGTATGCATCTGCAGGAAACATAGCCTGGCTCTGTGAAGGAATACTGCTGTGACCGCAAAACTGTTTCTGTAGAATTTTCTCCGGTGTGGTCATCCTGCCTTCAGGTCAGTGAATAGATGGTGTTTGGACAGCGTCTGGCACAGATACTTTAACCTTAAAGCTTAATGTATAACTGGTATTTTTTCCCCCTTCTGTGTCAGCAATTGGCAACGGGACACTGTAAATAAGGATTCTGGTTTGTAAATGGACGTCTGTTCCTCCAGGGGAGGGGAAGGCTGGAGTAAGCAGTTTTGAAATTCATGCTGCAAGTGATAAGATAATTTGAGTAACCTGTAAGACCTGTGGATTCACAGGTTTCAAAAACAGGAAAGTCTCTTGTTTGAAAACCCTCTAAAGCAACATGTGGGCTTAGAAAAGAAGCCGGCTTGTGGTTTGGTGATTGTACTTCCTTATTGATATAATGGCCGCTGACGCAAGGCCTCCTGGGATTGCAGCGCGGTGACCGCAGGCCTGACGGTTACCCTGACCGGGTTCTGAAACAGCCCGGGGCTTTCAGCACAGATGAGAAGTCTAAAAATTTCCCTTTTCATTTCCTCTCTTGTGTGACTTTGTCATTTTTAAAAAAACTGGTCACAGAAAAGGGAATTTTGCCCATGCTTTTAAGGAGTTTATCTCGACTGAGTAGCTTCCCCGCCACTCCTCTAAAATCCCTCCTCAAAAACCCCAAGTTAAAAAAAAAAAAGATCTATTCTTGTAGATTTTTTTTGTGTGGGTCTATGTTTCATTCATCTGCTTTCAGGCTGGATTTATAACAAGCAGAACTTTTAAAACGGTATGATTTTAAAATAAAATTAAAAAAAAAACACGCTGAGATCTTTCCATAGCTTTGGCTTCTGGGAGTTGAAAGCGCAGGTACGTGCTACATCTTCTGGAAACCTAACCCTCGCACGCCAAGCGGGAGGCTCTTTTGGTCAAATACTCCCAGGACTTATGCTTGAGTTCTGAAATAAGTGAAAGCAGATGCCATTCCTGTGCGACATAGCTAACTGACCGCAGCCCAGAAAGTTCTGTTGGCTAGCTGTGTGGGGGCTGTCTTAAGCCCTGAAAACATTCTGCATCAGAACTCAGCTTCAGAAAGGGGTTCCTGCTCTCCTGTCTGCCCTGGAGATAGTCACGCATGACAGCTTGTGGGCTGACTGAGCATTTAGGCAGCTGCTTTTCCTCTCTCCCTCCAGGAGGAAAATAGAGCAAAAAGGTAGAACTTACTTCCACACCCAAGTTTCTCCTGAAAGCACTGTGCCTGTTTTGTTTGCTACACATCTTGGGTATGTATGTTTGCATCTATGCATGCAGGCATGCATGAGTTATTTATGTGTGTTATTTGGTCCAGCCTTGAAGCTCCTTTTATTTTTCAGTGAATTGAAAGAAGGTAACCTTTGGATGTATATATTTTAGTGCTCCAGCAGATTACCAGTGAAACATGCCGACTCTCACCAAACCACCCCATGTTGCCAAATCTTCTCTCTTGGCCCTGATGATGTGCAACTTAAAACCAAGGTCCAGGTTGACTGCACAGCAGAGTTTACTGTTCGCTCTCTCGCTCTCTCTCCTCTCTCTTTTTTTCTGTAAGCCCAATAAATCTGCCCTATCACGTCATTGAGGCCACAAGGAAATGTAATCCTGCCAAGTGTGGGAGTTAACAAAAACTGCCAAAGTCTTAAGGTTGCAGAGAGAGCAAGAACCACTTTCTGGGTTACGCATGTCTACTGTGTATGTGCAGGGGTGCCATGTGTATGTACCGCGTGTGTGTGTGGGTACTGTGTGTGTGCATGGATGCTATGTGGATTCACCATGCACTACCATGTGTGCATGAGCACCATGTGTGTACACTGAGAGTGTATGTGGCTAGCAGGTGTGTGTACTCTGTGTACCTGAGCACTGTGCGTACCTGTGCACTGAGCCTATATATGGGCATGTGTTTATAGCATGTATGCATGTGTGCTATGTGTATATACCATGCACTTGCACACATATACTGTGTGTGCAGCACACCAGATGCCACAGATATGGTGGCGGGAGGGTCAATGACAGGGAACTGGGGGGAGGCAGGTGTGAGGCAGGCCTGCTTGGGAACAGGTAAATCACTTAAGGATGCAGTGCTTTTCATCTGCTTTGCTGCTCTTTTCCTCTTAAGCAGCATGCGCTGAGATTGCAGAAACCTGAAAGATAGGGAAAGTGTGTATCCCATCTCCCCTTCCTGCCTGACTCTCAAGTAAGTTTTCTTTAAGTATCTTTTTTCTTCAGCTTCAGGAAAAAGAGGACCTTAGAACTGAAGGAGCAAGATTCCAACATCACACTGTTTTTGTTAGCTGTGTGTGTGTGTTTCCTGTGTATCCAAAAGACAGAGGAGATGAAAAAGCAAAAGAAAAGAAACGAGGAATCAGATTGGAAAGAGTATGAGTTTGTACTTATGAAATAAAACTTTTATCTCTCTACACAGGACCGGGAGTCTGTCCCAATTTCCTGTCTCTAACCTCACTGGAAGTGCTGACCCACTTCTGGCTATTTTTATGTGTTTCTTTGAAAATGCTTACTGTGATTGGAGTTGACTTGCCGACTCTGTTCTGCAGCCTCCCCACCACCTGAGTCCCAAAGGGCGGCCCTTCCCACCTCACGCCCAGTAATTATGGGTGAGCGCAGAGCCAAAGGATGGCAGGGCTTTGTTGGTGGTGCGACCAGCGGGTGACCCCTTTCCTCGCAATCAGAGACTCAGGGACAAGCAGCTTGCACCTGCACGTGGAGCTTTGCACACGGCCTTTTGCCTGATTTTCCTCTTCGAGGCATGCCCCCTCCATGAAAGATGGGCATCTTCCCATGTTCCGGAATTCTTGGGGGTGCGCTGATTCCAGGCTCTCGCCCCAGCTTTGGGCCCAGGGCAGTGAGCATGTGTAGTTACTTATCTAGGATTGCAACCTGAGTCAACAGTGAAACCAGGAAGTGAACTCGGGGTCCGGCATTGTATGGAAAGTTGGGTGTATTTACTTTTCTCTTAAAGCAAACTTTGATTGACTCTTTAATAAGTTACCATGGAGGATATAGTTCTGGTGAGATTTGACTTGGCATCCAAATCTAAGGCACATATTGATAATGGAGGAGAGGAACAGGGAGTCTTTTATGTTTTTCCAGTTTTATCATTAACCCCAAGTTCAGAAATCTGTTTGCTTTTAAAAGTGTCAGTTTCCTCGTTTAGGAAGGTGACAGTTCTCTACTGATGATGAGGTTTTTTTTGTTTTTTTTTTGAGATGGAGTCTCGTTCTGTCACCCAGGCTGGAGTGTAATGGCACGATCTTGGCTCACTGCAACCTCTGCCTCCCGGGTTCAAGCGATTCTCCTGCCTCAGCCTCCCGAGTAGCTGGGATTACAGGCATCCACCACCATGCCTGGCTAATTTTTTGTATTTTTAGTAGAGATGGGGTTTTGCCATGTTGGCCAGGCTGGCCTTGAACTCCTGACCTCAGGTGATCCGCCTGCTTCGGCCTCCCAAAGTGTCGGGATTACAGATGTGAGCCACCGCGTCCAGCCTGTTGAGGTATTTTGATGTCCTTTGTGGAAAGGCCTTATCACCTGGCTGGCACACAGCACTGTGGGAACCTCTGGTGGGGCTGTGTGAGGAATTAGGGTGACCTTGACTTCAGCCAGGCCATGTGGGTCTTGACTCTGTCACTTACGGTGTCACCTGGGGAATCCCTTCCCTTCTTTGGCCTCAGTGTCCTCCTCTGGGAAGTGAGGGTAAAAAGTCTCTCCCTTGTAAGGTTGTTAGAGGGCTCGGCAAGGAGATGGATGTGGAGGGGCCTGGGGTGTGGAACATAGCATACACTTGGTGGGGCAAGCTATCAGGGTTATTTATTACTTAAATCATTTTAATTGTGGGTCATAAAATTTCTGTTTTTCCAGAGGTTTCTCCAGGACGTCACCTGTATGAGGTACACAGTGTGATGACACACTCTGTGCTTTTCCTACTTGTGTCCACGTGAGTGTCTGGAGCTGCCCTTCAAGGAGAGCAATAGATGAATGATTCTGCCTTCCCGCTGAGAGGGATGTGGGTCCTGCGGATGGTCGGGGTGAAGCTTCCTCTCCTTTCTGCTGACAGCACTTCCTCATTAAATGCAGAGATCTGCAAAAAGGGAAAATAAAAACACAAGAAGAAAAATGAGGCATCAAAGACCCTCCTCTTATGCCCATGGGGATTTGGAGGACGGGTTATTTCTTTGCTTTCCCAAAGGGCCCAAGAAGAGCTTCCGGGGAGAGGGAGAGCACCCTTTTTGAGGATTCCCGACAAGCCTGTCTCCCGAGGGCTCCTGTAGGAGAGGCGGTAACTAGGGCGCAGATCATTTTCTGTGTTAAGGGCATCCAAGGAGAGAAGAGAGTGACCGCCTATGACTTGGGAGGCCCGTAAAGATGGGGTCCTGGATGAGCAGTAGCAAGGAGGGTACGGGGATGGGTGTGCCTTGGGGGCTGGCAGTGAGGACGGCATCGTCCCTAGAGAGTTTAAAGACAAGAATCAATCCAGCTCCAAGTGAGACTGCTTTTAAACCATTTTAATTGCCACACACCAGTAAGTTCAAGCAATATCAGTGATAAAATCTCCTTCCGTTGGGCAGCCAGTCCTTCTGCACCCTCCTGGTGTGTCCTGAGTAAGTGGGGTAGGGAGGAGCTAGTGTGGCCCGAAGACAAAGGAACCCGAGATATTTCTTTCCTCTTCCAAGCAAGAGAGGCTGGAGACAGCACATGAGTGTTCAGGGATCCTTGGGGGTCAAAAGAGTCACCTGAGAGAAAGGAAGAGAGGGGAACTGCCGCAGCTCAGTGAGGGGAACACCGCAGGCTCTGCCTCTCTTCCCCGGCTGTCTGGGAGGAGGGTCTGGAGTGGAGTCCATGAGGGGCTGGGCGGGGCTGGGGCCCTACTTTGGAGGGAATATGGTAAGCAGACTGTACAGCCAAGCAGACAGTCCTGGAGGTTGAGGGCGTGACAAAGAACTGTAGCATATTCTGTGTGTAAAGACACCTTTGCCTTCTGTCCTGACCCGCAGACAGGTGCTTCTCCTGCCCTGCCGTGCTTCTGCCATTTCTGGTGGAAATAGCTCAAAAGACCCCTGCTTATCCACAGAGCAGGGGCATTTACCCATTACAACCCCCTGGTGAAGTGACACGGTTATGCCCATTTCACAGACGAGGAAATTGAGGCCCAGAAAGGGGCAGGAAACTTCCACAGCTGGGAAGCGGTGGATCTGGGACTTGTTTGCCCCAGAGGCTGCCACCCTGGCACCTCACTGCCCTCAAAGGCTGACGGTGCCCCCAGCAGCTGTAACCATTTCTTTCGAGTGCTTTTCATTGTGTGGAAGATCATTTTGGGGGGTGCACAGAGCTCCCAGCTTATTGTGATTCAGCAAGACCCTGGCGTGTCACTTACGGGAGGTGGCCTTGCTGGGCATAGTGCCGGCCAGCCAGAGACCCTCAGTGAACAGGGGGCGTTTCCAGAGGGCCTGGTGTTTTCTGCATGGCAAGACTCCTACAGAGAGGCTGACCTGGTTTTCAGAGAGCAGTTTGCGTTTCGGGTGGCCCTGGGGGCACATGTTCCCATTGGATTCCTGCACTGGAAGTAAGCTTGTGGGGCCGGGCTGCCAGCAGTGCCTGCCTTGTACCAGGGCTTTTTTGGTATGGAAAACTTTAGAGAGGCGTCACCACCACCTCTTTTTTGCTCAGCATTTGCTCATCTCTCCCCACCTGCTTTTCAGGGCTCAAGCCTGGAAGAAGCCTTAGGACGTGGGGGAAATGTCTAACGTGGAGTCCACCTGCTGAGCAGGACCGGGTGTGAAGGAAGAAGCTTTGTTCTGATTCCTCATGGCCCAGCCACCCCTCGCCTGAGCTGAGCCTGGCCACAGGGCCCGCCTGCAGGAAGGGCTGGCCCATGGCTTCACACTGGGCTCAGGCTGCGCTAAGAGCCCCGGGTGAGGACCTCCAAGCCCAGGAAGCCTCAGTTGGCCAAAGTGCTAGATGCGTGTGGTCTGCTTTCATCCCCGCTTCCCTCAGAGCTTGCATTTTCCAAATTCAAGAGAGGCTCCACCTTCAAGAAGACCGGCCTGTCCCTGTTATTTATGTGTCCCCCTACCATATCTCCCTTTGTTCTGCAGAGCGGTACGCATAAAAAGCTTTTGGGGAAGGGGAGAAGTGTGGCTCAGTGACTTGCACAGGAAATTGGAAATTGGATCCCCAGGTCTACCCCCACTCCTCTGACTCATGCTTAAACAAACCCAACACATGCCCTGACCTTTGCTCTCTCCCTCTATTGCAGGCCATACCTGCCAGCAGCCTGCTCTCCCGGCCATGCTGCGGTTCACAAAAGTCCAGCATTTGGCTAGCTTCCTGGGGGAATGAATCTTTCAGAGCCAAACTAATGCTATGCATGCAGCTTATGATTTTTTTTTTTTTGTCTTCAACAAAGTGAATACTTACTTTTTTTTTGCTCTTTAAATTGTCATCCATTATATTCATCAACACAGAGAGATGGAACATTTGGCAAAATTATTTTAAGTAGCACTCCAACCTGTGATCGTAATTTCAAATCAAGGAATTTGCTGAGCAGCTGTGGGGAAGAACAAAAGGCCTGAGAGTGATTTAGGGCCTGGGGGAGGGGAGGCGGTGGAGTTGAAGGCCCCAGCCGGTAGCAGAAACAGCTGGGGAGGTAGGTTGTGCACACCCCGTGGGGGAGCCGGCCTTCTCAGCCCTGCCATCCCATCCACACGTGCCTCATCAGAGAGTTTTCGTCTCCTGAACATACCACATGCAGCACTTTAAAATAGATAAACTAAGAGGATTCAGATTCAGTTTGATACCCTCGCTGAGAGCTTCGGCTCGGGAGTTGGACAGGCCTGGCCTTGAATCCTGGCTCTGCCTCTCACCAGCCTCAGTTGCATCATCTGTAAAATGGGGCTAATGTAGCAATCACTTCGCAGATATTACTATGAGGTTGAGTGTTTATTTGACCCAGTCACTGGCATAGAACAAGTGTTCAAAATACTATTATTATCACCAATATGCAGAAATGTTCAATGTATACACTCGGTTTTTGCAACCAATTTATTCAATGAACATCTATTGAGCACCTGTTATGTGTTAGGTGCAGGGCTGGGTGTTGTGTGGGTACAAACACATAAAGCATAGGAATTAATATGCTATTAGATAAACTAAAAAGACTTCTATTGACTTAAAAAGTAATAATGACTTCTAAGCATATTTAAGTAATTTACGAAAGAGCCTTTCTTTTTTTTATTTTTGAGATGGAGTCTTGCTCTGTCTCTCAGGCTGGAGTGTAATGGTGCTATCTCAGCTCACTGCAACCTCTGCCTCCCGGGTTCAAGCAATTCTTGTGCCTCAGCCTCCAGAGTAGCTGGGTTTATAGGCGCGTGCCACGACGCCCAGCTAATTTCTGTGTTTTTAGTAGAAACGGGGTTTCACCATGTTGCTCAGGCTATCTTGAACTCATGACCTCAGGTGATCCACCTGCCTCGGCCTCCCAAAGTGCTGGGATTACAGGTGTGAGCCATTGCACCCGGTCAAAAGAGGCTTTCTTAACAGATGGTCTATTAGAAGCAATTTGAAAAGAAAATATAGAGTTGAAAAAAATAAAAGGGAAGCTGCATTCTTTTTAATTGTTTTTGAACTTGTTGCTTTTCAACACAGCTATTATCTAAATTAACTTAATTTCTTAAAATAAGCCCTGCTTGATACCCGGGAACCTTCAATCAACTAATTTGCAGATAATCAGACCTATTTACAAATAGTCTGGTTTGTCTGAGTGACTTTCAGTGACACATGCATACTCAGAAAGGGTATCATTTGCCAGGGATTAGTCAGTTCTGCTGAATTACAGTCTTCAGAATGAGAAGTCATCTAGTTCAACCTTTCATCCTTTTAATAGAATTTCTGGTGGATAACAGCTGAGCTTCTCCTCCGACTCTGCTAGGAATGGAGAACTTACTACTTCAAAACGTAGATGCTGCCTGGGTTGAGCAGCTCTAAATGTTCAAGATGGAATCATTAATAGGAAACTAATTGAAAAGAATTTGCATAGCACGTCTCAAGGACAAAAATCCCTTCTGTTGTTTTTTCCTTTTGTCTTGGTCTGCATCTCTGTCATTTGGTGGTGTTTGGACTGCCTGTCTGTCTTCCCTTTTTACTCCGAGCGGCGGCCTGCCCTCTGCCCCCTGCCCCCAGGGGAACAACAATGGCCCTGATCACAATTGGGTGGCCAAGCATATCATGCCGTGGAAGTTTGGAGCCAACACTCAGTTCCAGTTGCTCCTCTCCTTATTCTCTAGGGTGGCTCCACTAGGTTCTGCTTTCTCAGAAAACAGCAGTGAACTTTGTTCAGCCGAAACCCTATTTCCCAAGCTGATACTTGCTCACTGGCCTCCCCTCCTCCAGCTGCTCCCAACTGCTGACCACTTCTTGAGCGCACTGCTAGCTGCTTCTGCTGTTCCAGCACTTCCTGGAAGGCAGCTGCAAGCAGCCGAGGCAGATGGAGCCCAAGCCCTGTTGCTTGTGGTCTTGGCTTACTGAGCCTGAATCCACGACCGGATCATTAGAAAAGGGACGGTGTGTGTGCCTACCTTTGAAGCCAGTAGGCCAAAAGAAGGGTGAGCAGGACAGCGCCATAACACCTAGAGTTACTGTGTTTGGTTCACACTTCTGGTTTCCTGCAGAATTGCTAGAATTTTTAAAAAAAGGAAGCAGCAAGTTGAGAGCAACTAAAGTAAAAAGAGAAAAGTGATACAAAGGGAAAGGTTTATTTTTGGAGCTCTTAGATTCTGAAACTCCTTCTGACTCTTTTATCCTTTTACCTCTCCCTTTCTCCTCACTGGGCTCTTTGTCCTCATGGGGACTGTGCATCTCTGGTCTCACTCTAGCTCTGGGTCCCTTAGGCTCTTCTGGTTTTCTGGCTCCTGGAGTGAGCCCTTTCAATGAGGCCCTCCCTCAATTTCCCATCCCTCTTGTTCTTCTGCCATCCAGACTCATCACAGCCCAAATCTGAGACCAGCTGGCTGCACCGCTGGCTACTCAGAGCGGCTGGAGACAGCCATGCCCTGGGGCGACTTGTTCCATGGTGATCTGACTGGTTCATGCAGGGGTCTCGGACCTCACGGACCTCATCAGGAGCATCAAATGGGGTTTTTTTTGGCCGGAATGATATTTAAAACAATTTGATTTAGTTATGAGCATTTAAGAAATAGGAGGTCACCAGAAAATCCAGAGTTTTAGCTCGGCAAGCAGAGATGGAGAGCTGGCGGTACCCGGTCTTTACCCATTCTGGAAGGACCACTGGCTGGAGCTGAGAGGCAGTGGCTTCTCTGACATGGGGCATACACTCCATTTTGCTACCTTCTCTGCAACAACAGAGAGTGTCTTCCTGGACCCCAAACTGAGAATCAGATGCCTTTAATCAACGGGCTTGCTTCCTCCCACTCCCCAGACAACCTGATTCATGAGATGCCTGCCTGTTCCCCGTGGGCATCTGAGTTTGCAGCCCATGCTCAGTAGAGTTTATTCGGCAATCCTTTTCCTGACCTATAGCAGACTCCTAGCCCACCACATTTCTAATGCAGCTGTTGCAAGTCTTGTCCAGACCTTTCAGACCCTTGATCTCTCCGGGAGATTGTGCCTCATACATTATTGAAAAGATTGAGGCCACACAACATGTGCTCTAATGCCTCAGCTTTCTGCCTTTCTGCTTCTAAGGTCTCTGTTCTCTCTCCATTCCGTCCTCCTTCCCTCCTTTCTGACTCTCTTTTTCTTTTTTTCATCACTTTTAAAAATTGTAAAATAGAATGTACGTACAGAAAAAGGAGGCCGAGGCAGGAGAATCACTTGAACCTGGGAGACAGAGGTTGCAGTGAGGCGAGATCACGCATTGCACTCCAGCCTGGGCAATAAGAGTGAAACTCTGTCTCAACAAAAAAGAAAAACAAAAAAGAACCAAAAAAAACCCCCCAAAACCAAAGATATACAGTTCAGTGATTTATCACAAAGTCAACACCAGTGTCATTATCAGCCTGATCGAGAACTAGAACTCTGCCCTCCCTCACCCTGGACGTACTCTTCATTCCCCCGTCCACCTCTACCCTCCCTCCCTATCAGAGGCGACCATTATCCTGACTTTTTATGTAAAGCATCTTTGTTTATCTTTACCACCTAAATATATATATAAACAGATGTTTATAGCAGTTTTATTCATAACTGTAAAAACTTGAAAGCAACCAAGATGTCCTTTAGTAGGTGAATAGATAATAAACTGGGATACATTCAGGCAATGCACCATTATTCAGTCCTCAAAAGAAATGAGCTATCAAGCCATGACATGATATGGAAGAACTTTAAATGCATATTACTAAGTGAAAGAAGACAGTCTGAAAAGACTATATGCTGTGTGATTCCAACTATATGTCATTGTGGAAAAGGCAAAACTGCAGAGGCAGTAAAAGGATCAGTAATTGGCCGGGCGCAGTGGCTTACATCTGTAATCCAAGCACTTGGGGAGGCTGAGGCGGGCGGACCATGAGGTCAGGAGATCCAGGCCATCCTGGCTAACACGGTGAAACTCCGTCTCTACTAAAAATTCAAAAAATTAGCTAGGCGTGGTGGCATGCGCCTGTAGTCCCAGTTACTCGGGAGGCTGAGGCAGGAGAATCGCTTGAACTCGAGAGGCGGAGGTTTCAGTGAGCCAAGATGGCGCCACTGCACTCCAGCCTGGGCAACAGAGCAAGACTCCGTCTCACACACACAAAAAAAGAATCAGTAATTGCCAGGGATTAGGGGGAGGGAGGGATCAAACAGTGCAGCACAGAGGGTTTTTAGCACAGTGAACTACTCTGTATGATACTATCATGATGGGCACCTGTCATTAAACATTTGTCAAAACTTGTAGAATGTACAAGACCAAGAGAGAACCCTAATGTGAACTATGGATCCTGGGCGATACCGATGTGCCAGTGTAGGCTCATGGATTGTAACAAACACACAGCCCAGGTGGGGGATGTTGACAGTGGGGAAGGCTGTGCTATGTGGGGGGCAGAGGGTATATGAGATATCTCTGTACCTTCTGTTCAATTTTGCTGTGAACCTAAAACTGCTCTAAAAAAATAAAATCTTAAAAAAAAGGAAAAAAGTCTCTTTAAATGCTAAGATTTAGTTTTTGGCTAAACTAAACTTTAGCATTTCAATGCTAAAGGCTGTTTTTTTTTTTTTAACTTTATATAAATGTAACTAAACAGTGTGTATTCTTTCATGCGCCGCACTTTTTACTCAACATTATACTTGTGAAAATCATCCAGGTTGTCATGTGTAGGTGTAGTTTGCAGTTTTTATCAGTGGATAGTATTACATTAAAGAAATGGCATAATTTGTCTGTCTATTCTACTCTTGACGGACATTTAGGTTGTTTCCAGTCTAGGGCTATTATAAATGACGCTTCTGTGATCATCCTTGCTCTTGTGTGCTGGTGGAGGCATATGTGTGTTTCTGAGGGTATTACTCTGAGCCTGGAGTCTTCTTTGTGGAAAGGTTTAAATTATCAATTCAGTTTATTGAATGGTTATTGGGTTAGTTAAGATTTACATACTTTCTTGTGTCCATTTTTGATAAATTTTCTTTTTAAGGGATTCACCAATTTATCTAAATTTGCAAAATGTTTTGGCATAAAACTATTCATAATACTTTCTTATGATCTTTAATAAAGATGGTTCTGTTGTGATGTCTCTTTATCATGCCTGACATTGATTATTTTAATCTTCTTTTTCTTTCTTTTGCCCCCTTGATAAATCTTGCTAGTTTTTGTTTGTTTTTTGTTTGTAGACACAGGGTCTCACTATGTTGCCTAGGCTGATCTTGAGCTCGTGGCCTCAAGCAGTCCTCCCGCCTTGGCCTCCCAAAGTGCTGGGATTACAGGCATGAGCCACCAAGCCATTTTGCTAGGGTTTTAAATCAATTTTATTACTCTTTCCAAAAAGTCCAGATTTTGGTTTTGTTGTTACAGATCCTCCTTCATTTACAATGAAATTGTGTCCCACTTAAAGTGTGTTTTTAACTTAAGATATTTTCAACTTAGAATGGGTTTATCTGGACATAATTCCAATGTAAGTTGAGGAGCATACTGCATGCATATTGCTTTCATATTATTGGAGTGATAAAATCGTAAGTTGAACCACTGTAAGTTGGGAACCATCTATATTTCATATTTTATATTTGTTTTTTAGTGCATTAAATTCTTCTTTTCTCTTTCTTTGGGTTTAATTTTCTGTACTTTTTCTAATTTCTTGAGATGACTGCTTAGTTCATTAATTTTAAACCTTTCCTATAATCAATATATGCAATTATAGTTATAAATATTCATCTAATCATAGCTTTAACCTTATCCCATGACTTTCAGCATTCAATATTTTTATTATCATTCTATTAAAATATGTTAAAATGTTATTTCAATTGTTTTCTTGGGTAATTTAGATGTACATCTGCATTTTCAAATATATGGGGCCGGGCGCAGTGGCTCACGCCTATAATCCCAGCACTTTGGGAGGCCAAGGCCGGTGGATCACCTGAGGTCAGGAGTTTAAGACTGGCCTGACCAACATGGTGAAACCGCATCTCTACTAAAAATACAAAAGTTAGCTGGGCGTGGTGGCACGTGTCTGTAATTCCAGCTACTTGGGAGGTTGAGGCAGGAGAATCGCTTGAACCAGGGAGACGGAGGTTGCAGTGAGCCGAGATTGCACCACTGCACTCCAGCCCGGGCAACAGAGTGAGACTCCATCTCAAAAAAAAAAAAAAAAAAAAAAGGGGAGTTTTCTAATCATCATTTTTGTTATTGGTTTTTTAGCTTACTTGCAATGTATTTAAAAAGTGTATTTTGTATAATTTCAGTCATTTGAGATTTGCCAAGACATGCTTTATGACTCAGCATATGGTTGATTTTTGAAATTGTTTCTTGTGTGTTTGAAAATAATGTACACTTGTAGTTGTGAGCTCAGTATTCTATATATGTCCATTAGGTTATAGTTGCTGACTGTGCTGTTTGAATCTTTTATATCCTTACTGACTTGTCTGCTTGTTCTGTTAAATATTGACAGAAGTGTGTTAAATTCTACCATAATGATTGTGGATTTGTCTAGATGTAGATATGTTGCTTTTTGCTTCATGTATTTTGAGGTATTAGGTGTATATAATTTTATAATATTGGCTGGGCATGGTGGCTCATGCCTGTAATCCCAGCACTTTGGGAGGCTGAGGCAGGTGGATCCTCTGAGGTCAGGAGTTCAAGACCAGCCTGGCCAACATGGTAAAACTCTTGTCTACCAAAAATACAAAAATTATCCAGGTTTGATGGTCCACGCCTGTAATCCCAGCTACTTGGGAGGCTGGGGCAGGAGAATCGCTTGAACCTGGGAGGTAGAGGAGCCGAGATCGTGCCACCGCACTCCAGCCTGGGCAACAGAGTGAGACTCCATCTCAAATAATAATAATAATAATAATAATAATAATAATAATAATAATAATTTCATAACATTATAACTTCCTGGGAAATTGAAAATCTTGTTATTAAGACAGCCCCTTCTTTATCTCTAGTAATGCTTTCTGCTTTAAATTCTATTTTGTTTGATAATTAATAATATAGATAGTCCAATCTTTTTTGGATTAGTATGGTATATATTTTCCATACCTTTACTTTTATCCATTTTGTATCCCCCCCAGCTTTTTTTTTTTGGTTCACCTCAATTTCAGCTCACTGCAACCTCCACCTCCAGGGTTCAAGCAATTCTCCTGCCTCAGCCTCCTGAGTAGCTGAGATTACAGGTGCCTGCCACCACGCCTGACTAATTTTTGTATTTTTGGTAGAGACGGGGTTTCACCATGTTGGCCAGGCTAGTCTTGAACTCCTGGCCTCAAGTGATCCACCCGCCTCAGCCTCACAAAGTGCTAGGATTACAGGCATGAGCCACCATGCCCAGCCCATTTTATATCCTTAATGTAATCTTCTGTAAACACTATACAATTGAAAACATTAATCATCTGGCAATCTTTGTCTTTTAATTGGACCATTTAGTCCATTTATATTTAATGTAATTCCCGATTTCCTTTTTTGGTGGGGAGACAGGATTTAGCTTTGTCATCCAGGCTCAAGTGTAGTGGTGTGAACATGGCTCACTATAGCCTCGACCTCCTAGGCCCAAGAGATCTTCCCGCTTCAGCCTCTCAAGCAGCTGGGACTACAGGCGTGTGCCACCATGCCTGGCTAATTTTGTATTTATTGTAGAGATGGGGTTTCACCCTCTTGCCCAGGCTGGTTTTGAATTCCTGAGCTCAGGCAGTCTGCTGGCCTTTGCCTTCCAAGTGCTGAGATTACAGGCGTGAGCCACTGTGCCTGGCCTAATCCCTAATATATTTGGATTTAGATCTCCCATGTTGTTGTGTGCTTTCTATTTGTCCTAGTTATACTCTATGTTCATCTTTCTCTCGTTTTATTGCTTATTTTGGATGACTATTTTTTTAATATTCCATTTCCTTCCTCTATTATCTTGGAAATTATATATCCTTTTTACTCTTCTTTTGGTGATAAGCCCCAAGATCACAGTATTCCTTCTTGTCTTATATTAATTGAAAAGAGCTTCATGCTCTTTTCAGGCATTTCAAGAACTCTGAAACACCCTAACTCTACTCCTGTCCCCAATTTTGTATTATTATTGTCATGTATTTTAAGCTATATATATATATATATATTTAATTAATTAATTTATTTATTTTTTGAGGCGGAGTCTCGCTCTGTCGCCCAGGCTGGAGTGCAGTGGCGTGATCTCGGCTCACTGCAAGCTCCGCCTCCTGGGTTCACACCATTCTCCTGCCTCAGCCTCCCGAGTAGCTGGGATGACAGGCGCCTGCCACCATGCCCTGCTAGTTTTTTTTTGTATTTTTAGTAGAGACAGGGTTTCACCATGTTAGCCAGGATGGTCTCGATCTCCTGACCTCGTTATCAGCCCGTCTCAGCCTCCAAAAGTGCTGGGATTACAGGTGTGAGCCACCGCGCCTGGCCAATTTTTTTTTTTTTTTTTTTTTTTTTTTTTTTTGAGATGGAGTTCGCTCTTGTTGCCCAGGCTGGAGTGCGATGGTGCAGTCTCGGCTCACTGCAACCTCTGACTCCTGGGTTCAAGCGATTCTCTTGCCTCAGCCTCCCGAGTAGCTGGAATTACAGGCATGTGCTACCATGCCTGGTTAATTTTGTATTTTTAGTAGAGACAGGGTTTCTCCATGTTGGTTAGGCTGGTCTCGAACTCCTGACCTCAGGTGATCTGCCTGCCTCGGCCTCCCAAAGTGCCGGGATTACAGGCATGAGCCACTGTGCCCGGCCGAGAAATACATATTTCAAATACAACAACATTTTAAATTTTTTGTATAGTCACTCTCAATTTATATTTACCTATATTTTAATACTTGCTGTTTTTAATGTAATACTTTCCTTCTTGCATCTCTGACTTTCCATCTGGGACTATTTTCCTTGGGCCTGAAGAATATTCTTTAATATTTCCTTTATTGTGAGTGACAAATAATTATGTTTTGGTTTGTTATCTTTAATTCATCTTTATACTTGAAGGATATTTTTGGAGGGCATAAAATTCTAGGTTGGCAGTTATTTACTTTTAGTATGTTAAGGGTATTCCATTATTTTTCTGGATTTCCTTGTTTCTCTTGAGAAATCAGCTGTCTGTCTAATTGTTGCTCCTTTGACAGTGATCTGTCTTTTATTTTATGGCTTCTTTTAAGATATTTCTTTTTCCTCTGGTTTTCAGCAATTTTACTATAATGTACCTAGGTGTATTTCCCTATAATTCTTGGAGATTTTATGGACTTCTTGAATCTGTAGCTTTATGTGTTTAATTTGCTTTGGAAAAAATCTCAGTTATTATCTTTTCAAATATTTCTTCTTTCCCATTTTCTCTTCTATCTTTCCAGAATTCCAATAACATGTGTACTAGGTATTCTTACTCTATTATTTATCACTCTTAACTTTTTTGTCTTTTTCATTCTTTTATTCCTTCATGCTTCATTCCAAATATTTTCTTCTGATCCAACATCCAATTTACTTCAGCTTTGTCTAATCTGTTATAAAACACACCTGTGACTTATTAAATTTAATATAATATAATAATGAATACAATGTATAATATATAATATAATATAACATATAATAATATAACATAATATAATATAATAAATATAATAATATTTTTTCCTTTCTAGAATTTCTGTTTCTAGAATATCTGGAGACTCTCTGAGTGTCCATTGTTCTATTTTCCATTGTTATGCTGGTTTTTATGTTTATTATCTTTTCCTCTTATTTAGTTATTTTTGCTGTTATAGTGAGCATAGCTATAAAATTAATTGTGGAAATTATTTGAGACCTAGGATGATCTTATCTTCCTCCAGAGAGGACTTACTTTGCTTTTGTCAGGAGTCTGGGGCCAAGAGTACCCTGAGATTAATTTAATCCAATTTCATGGATTGAAATGATTTGAAGGTGAGCTGCAATGTCTGCAAAGGCCGGGCTATTTCTGGATAATATTTACTCCTACAGTACAGTCCTTTAGGGTCACATCCCAAAGATAAGGATTTTCCTGGGACACTCACCTTGGTGGGCCCTGGACCCCAGTATCAGATCCTCTAACCATATGATGCTGTGTAAAGTGTTGCTCAGACTCTCGTCCTCTCTGCTGTGTGACCTGACCTTGGCTAACAATGAGGAGAAGAGTGGCTTCAGACTGTGGGTTTACCTCCTGGGCCTCCATTTTTCCTGGTCTCTGGCTTGCTAACTCTTCACTCTTGTGTTAGCTATCTGATGCTTCCAGAAAGATAATCCCTATATTTAATGCAGCTTGTATGTTTGTCCTTATTGGGAAGATTGGTATGAATTACCTAGCTGCTATGGTTGTCTGCCTCTAATTTCACATCATTGTCAGCCTTCTTTCTTTTGTATTTCATGGACATTTCAGGGAAAGAAATGCCCCTTCTTCTCTCTAAAGCCAGCCCTTATAGGTGTGGTTTGGTCTCCTTTCTCTCCATACTTGTCTAGAATCATAACGCATCTTCAATCTCTCGTTTAACACTAGAGCCTTCTACAAACACGTTCAACTACCCCCTATACAAACAAATACAACCAACAAACACGTTTTCCTAAACCTTGCTATTCTTTCCAATCACAAGCCTATGTAGTACTATTTTTGGTGACGACTCTTGCCAGAACAGTTTATCGACTCCTTTTTTTCCCAGAGTAATATTGACAAGTCTGCTCAAATCAGTGTTCCCAACTTGATTGATTCACTTGGCCAGAACGAGTTTACATAGAGAAGAGTGAAGGGGGAAGATAAAAAAAGAAGAGATGCAAGAGGAAATTTATAATGTTTTATTTTTCATTTTTGTGGCGGTGTCTTGCTCTGTCACCCATGCTGGAGTGCAGTGGCACGGTCTCGGCTCACTGCAACCTCCACCTCCCAGGTTCAAGCAATTCTCCTGCCTCAGCCTCCCCAAGCTGGGAATACAGGTGCCCCCCACTATACCCTGCTAATTTTTTGCATTTTTAGTAAAGACGGGGTTCCCCCATGTTGGCCAGGCTGATCTCGAACTCCTGCCCTCAAGTGATTCACCCACCTCAACTTCCCAAAGTGCAGGAATTACAGGCATGAGCCACCATGTCTGGCTATATATATATATATATATATATATATATATATATATATATTTTTTTTTTTTTTTTTTTTTTTTTTCGAGATGGAGTCTTGCTGTTTCACCCAGGCTGGGGTGCAGTGGCACCATCTCGGCCCACTGCAGCCTCTGCCTCCCGGGTTCAAGCAATTCTCCTGCCTCAGCCTCCTGAGTAGCTGGGACTACAGGCACACACTGCCATGCCCAGCTAATTTTTGTATTTTTTAGAAGAAATGGCCAACATTTCACCATGTTGGCCAGGATGATCTTGATCTTCTGACCTTGTGATCCACCTGCCTTGGCCTCCCCAAGTGTTGGGATTACAGGTGTGAGCCACCACGCCTAGCCCATAATGTTTTAAATTATGCAGACAAGCCTGGGATTATTCCATAAAAATTATCTGTCCCTTGTTCTTATTTCTTCTTTTTCCTCCCTTTTGTTATCAGAGTTTTTGAAGGGGCAATTTATCCTTGTTGTTTCCATTACTCAAACACATGCTCTTATTTAAACGTCACCAAAAGCCTCCTACTTGCCCATCCAGTGCCTTTTACCAATCAAAACTCATTCTCCTTGTTCTCCTTGTAGAATTCATCGGGCTTTCATCCCTCAAGTTTCTCCTCCCCTGTGTTCTGGAATGCTTGACTTTCTCAGCTCTCCTGCCTACTCATTCTTTTCCACCTTCCATTCCTTTCTTCTACTTCCTAACGGTAGAACTTCCAAAGGTTCTTGGCCCTTTCTCTTCTTTCGTCTTCTCATCATAGACTTTGTGCCTTAGTGGATTCATGGCTTCCACCATTCTTTTTTGGGTGAGGACACCCAGATCTAAATATCCGGTCTAGGCTTCTCTGTGGGGTTCCAGTTTTGCATTTCTGAATGACTGCTGTTTTTTCTAGCTGCGTGTCCTAGAAGTCCTTCAAAGATATTTTTAAAAGTTGAGCTCATAATTTCCATCCACAAACTTCCTATTTCTTATTTCCCATGTCGATTAATATCACAACGGCATCTCTGTACTTCTTCTTTTTTCTCTACATTAAGTGCCCTTTCTTTCATCTCCACTTGTTCAAATCCCATATAGCTTTGAAAATTCAAAGGTTTCTTCTTCAGAAAACCTTAGAGTCATGTGAAAAAAGTATGGGCTTTAGCAGTGAGACATGTGGCTCAAATCCAGGCTCTGCCACTAACTGTATGACTCTGTACAAGGTGTTTACTGCAAACTTGAGTTTTTCTCATCCATAAAGTGGGAGTCAGGGTGACTAGCTCACAGGTTTATTGATAAGATTAAATGCATTATTTATGAGCATGCTCTATGTCTTTTATTAGACTGTAAGCTGCTTGAGAGCAAGATTCATGTCTGATTAATCAATATATCCCCAGGTACTTATTAGTTATCAAATGAATGAATTAATATTGCACATTTTGCCAAACAACATGGTGCTGATGTCAGCATTTTATTCACCCATTAAAGAGATCAAACCTACTTTATTTTGGTCAGTATTGCCTAATTATATGCAGGCACTACTTTGATATTCTTATTTTATTTCTACTCAGGTTGAATGGCTTGACTTAATGTCAAAGGGGTGCTAAGATGGGAGAAGGAATCGGGGGCTTTTAGACCTACCCTGGGGTCAGTTTTTTGTTGCCCTCTCACGTGCAGAAAAGTCTGAACAATTGTCTAGTGAGCTTAACAGTGTAGACAACCGGCCCTGGCTGGAAAGGTCCCCAAGTCCCATTGCCTCTTTTTATTTTTGCTTAATTTATCCAGATAATTCCTTCATCTCTTCACTTCTTTTGATCTTTGGTGAATAGCCTCTCGGGTCCAGGAAGCCATCTGTTCCTACTTCCCTATTCTCATTCTCTCTCTTGCCTCCTTCCTCCTCCTTGTCCTTAAAAATGGGCGAGGCTGGCTGGAGTTTTCCTGGAAAGCCAGCCCTCACCTGGGAAGGGATCTTTTTCCAAGGGCATACCAGGCCCAATGCACCTGTCTGCTAAGGTGAACATGCCAAGCACTTGTCCCTCTCTTGGCCTATCAGATGCAGCTGAATACACTTGGCTGATGCTCCAGCAATTTGGTTATTCGTTTTCGTCTCTCGGCTGAGTGTCTACACCTGTTCAGAGCTTGGCTCACGCACTTCCTAGTTCCCTTGGCTGAGTGTCTGCAGCCATTGCATGTTTGCTCTTTCCCTTTCTCCTCACTTTCCCTCATTAGGTAAGTCCTTCAAGGGAGAAATAAATGGAGGTGGGGTAGGAGACGGGCACGCACGCCAGTGGCATTCCCTTTGAATAGCTGGAAAAGATCTTAGAACATAGTTTTCTGGTCAAGGCCAGTGTAGTAAGCTGAATTATTGCCTCCCCCAAAATATCAGGTCCTAATTCCTGGAACCTATAAATATTACAGCTGAATATTGGTGTCCTATCCCAAATTCATCTGCTGAAATCCTAATGCCCAAGGTGACGGTAATAGGAGGTGGGGCCTTTGGGAGGTGCCCTTGTAAAAGAGAGTGCAGAGCTAGTCCCTCCCACCATGTGAGGACACAGCAAGAAAGTCCATCACTATGTATGAACCAGGAAGCGAGCCCTCCCCATGTTAATGGATGGAAGGTCTTGACTGTGAGTTGTCTAGGTTCTTGGGGTGTTGAACAAAGAGTTGAACAAAATGCACAAACAAAGCAGCAAAAGAATGAAGCAATGAAAGACAAATGAAGCAACAAAAGAATGAAGTAACACAAGTACAGATTATTGAAGCGAAAGTACACTTCACAGAGTGGGAACAGGCTCGAGCCGGCAACTCAAGAACCTCCCAATTCGGGTTTTTATTAAGCTGAAATAATTTGGTAACACCCCTAGGTGCCCTTTAGAGGTCTCCAGTTGGTTCCATCTTATGAAGGATTGCCCTGTGACCAATCAGAGGCTGAAGTGGAAGCTTGGCCTGCTATCAATCAGAGGCTGAGATGGAAACTTCTGTCTTGTTATCACTGGAGTAAAAATGTGGCCTGTATGCTGCCTAATCTTGCCTAGAACTGGCTGCACCTGCTGTTCTTTTGCTTATGCCTTAACCCTTGGTTACCCTAATTCCCTATTCTCCTGTCTCACCCAGATATCACCTCTGCCAGTGTCCTGACCTTGGACTTCCCAGCCTCCAGAACTGTGATAAACAAATTTCTGTTGTTTGTAAGCCACTCAGTTTATAGTAGTTTGTTTCAGCAGCCTGGAAAAACTAAAACATTTACCTTATTTGGATAAAAGGAATTTTGCGGGGCTGGGTGAGGTGACTTATGCCTGTAATCCCAGCACTTTGGGAGGCTGAGGAGGGTGGATCACTTGAGGCCAGGAGTTCGAGACCCACCTGGCCAACATAGCAAAACCCCGTCTCTACTAAAAATGCAAAAAGTTAGGTGGGCATGGTGATGAATGCCTGTAATCCTAACTACTTGAGAGGCTGATGCAGGAGGATCACTTGAGCCCAGGAGGTAGAGATTGCAGTGAGCTGACATGGTGCCATTGCACTCCAGCAGCCTGGGCAACAGAGTGAGGCTCTGTCTCGAAAAAAAAAAAAAAAAAAGGATTTTGCAGATGTGATAAGAATTTTAAGATGGGGAGATTCTTCTGGATTATCTCGGTGGTCCCTAAATGACATCACAGGTATCTAGTTCTAGGCTGAATGTTCATGGGTGAGCCCACTAAGAGCTGCTGCTCCTGCTACCACCAGGAAGCTGGCCACCCACTGCAAAGCTGCCATACAGCTGCTACAATCTGTGCCCCCCAAACAGATGCCTCACATCCAAGGCTTCTGTCTCCTCTGAACCCAGTTCGAAATTCAAGTCTTGCATGACTACCTGTTATTTGAGGAATTTAAATTACAACTGGGACTTTGGTTGCAGGGGTGCCTGGGAAATGTGGTTTTTAGCATTCCAGCTTCTGCATTTCAGGAAGGCAACTTTCCGTTGTGACGGTAGTTGCACTCCAGATGCCATGGATTTTGAATGGGCCAGTCCAAAATTTCTTCCACAAGCACCTACTGTGTGAATAGTAGGGCTCTAAGCCAGTTAGAAAGCCCTGCACGCAAGGCACTTACTTTCTTATGGGTGTAGCTAGTAAGTTCATCAACAAATAAACCCAGTGATTTAAGATACTGTTATTTGCCACAAAGGAGATAAAGTAGTGTAATGAGGTAGTGACTAACAGTGGGGGTTGCTTTAGCTATGTAGATTTATATGTAGATTTAGCTAACAGAACAGTCAGAAAAATTCTCTTGACCTGGCATTTTTTGTTTTGATCTGAATGATGAAGAGGCAGCCATGTGCAAGTCTGGGGAAATGGTGTTCCAAGAGGAAGGAATAGCAAGTGCAAAGGGTTGGAGGTGGGAATACCTTGGCATGCTCAAGGGAGAGAAAGAAGCCAGTGTAGCTGGAGTGTGGTGAACGAAAGCAGGGTGGAAGGAAATGAGGTCGAAGGACTAGGCAGATGCTAGATCCCCAGGACCTGATGGGGATTTGGATTTTATTCTTGTGACAACAGGAAATCACTGGGAAGTTTTAAGTGGGGGAGTTAGAGTGGGTTGAATAGTGACCTCCAAAATTCACGCCCACTGGGAAACTCTGAATGTGACCTTATTTGCAAATAGGTTATTTGCAGAAGTAATGAAGGCAAGGATGAAGATCCATCCTGGATCAAGGTGGGCTCTGAATCCAATAAGAATGTCTTTGTAAGAAACAGAAAATGAGTCACACAGAGAAGAGGGTAATGTGGAGATGGAGGTAGGGGTTGGGGCGATACAAGCCAAAGAGTGGCAAAGATTCCCAGCAACCACCAAAAGCTAGGAGAGAGGCAGGAAATGGGTTCTCCCTTGGAGCCTCCAGAAGAAACGGATCCTGCTGCCATCTTGATCTTGAACTTCTGGCCTCCCGAATGCTGAGAATACATTTCTCTTGTTTCACCTCCCGGTTTGTGGTACTTTGTTATGACAGCCACAAGAAACAAATACAAGAGTGATGTGATCTAATCAGTGCTATAGAAAACTCACTCTGGCTGTGGTCTGGAGGTGAACCCTAGGAGCCAAGACCGATGGTGGCAGGGAGGCCTGTTAGGACTGGATGCGGCAGGGGTCCGAGTCGGAGATGCTGCTGCTCAGACTGGAGGAGTGTCTGGGGAGATGATGAAAAGCTTTCAGTTTCAGGATGTGCTAGGAAGGTAGACCCTGTGGATTTTACTCTTGGACTGGATGTTGGGGGATGACTGGGAGATGAGAAAGAGGAGTTAAATCTGACTCTTAGGTTTCTGGCCTATGCTGCTGGCATGATTTATTGAGATGAGGAGGCTTAGGGAGCTAAGTTGGGATTGAGACGCTTTTTGGTCATGCGAAGTTGGAGCTGCGTATTTGAAATCTAAATGGAGATGCTGAGCTGGGCAGTTGGGCTAGACCAGTCTAGGGCTTCAGGGATAAACAGACACAGGGATAACATTTGAAAGTCATCTACATATAGGTGACATTTAAAGTCTCGGGACTAGATGAGAGAGTAGATGTGGAAGAGAGAAGAGCTAATATCAGAGCTCTGGGGCATTTGAGTGATAGGTAGAGGTCCGGAAGAGACAAAGGATCCTGAGAAAGCATGGGGAGGAGGGAGGAGAAAAACCAGATAGAGGTGGGTGGCAAGTCACCCGAAGGAAGTATCTCTAAGACGAGATGATCAACTCTGATGCTGTTGAGGGCTCGAGCGAGACAAAGACAGTGGTGTGAGCATCAGCGTTGGCTCAACGTAGGTCTTTGGGAAACTATTTTAGGAAGAGGTGAAGGAAGAGCTAGACTGGGGCTATTGGAAGAGAGAATGGGTGGCAAGGAGGTTGTGATGGTGTCTGCACAACTCTTTGGAGAGTTTCCCTCTGGAAAGAAGCATGAAAATGGCCCGGGTGCTGGAGAGGGATGTGGGAGAGAGGACAGCGGCAGGAGAGGTGTCCATGAGGAGCGTGGTGATGTGATTCTGGGAACGAGTGGAGTTGTCAGCCCTCGACAGGCCAGGGGCAGTTCTTCTCTTGTGACCTAGGAGGAGGCAGAGCAGGAGCACCGGCTGCCGCCAGGGCTGGTGGATGGAGCTGGTGGCTGGAAGAGGTGAGGGAGGTCAAGCCCAGGGCTGGATCCCTGTTTCAGAACCTTGTGGGAAGGCATTCTTAGTCTCATATGTGGTCTGTTCATTCATCTCAGCAACATCCAGGTGGCAGGAGCCCAGGACTAAGCTCTAGCACTCTAGATCAGTGTAGAATGACTATAGTTAACAATAAAATACTACCTGCTTTCCGGCAGCTAGAAGGAGGATATTGAATGTTCCCAACACAAGGAAATGATGAATGTTTGAGATGATGGATATGCTAATTACACTGACTTGATCACTATACGTTGTATGTATGGAAACATCACTATGTACCCCATCGCTACAAATATGTGCAGTTATTATTTGTCAATTAAAAAAATTAAAAAATAATTTTTAAAATCATTTCTGTGTCCAGGATCTAGAACCACTGCTTTCCTTTCTTCCCACCACCCACTGTCCCCCACCTTTCACCCTTGGGGATTTGGTAGGGCTCAGCGAGTTTTTCTATTAAACCCTATTTATTTATTTAGAGACAGGATACTGCTCTGTCATGCAGGCTTGAGTGCAGTGGCACGATCTGGGCTCACTGCAACCTCTGACCCCTAGGGTCCAGCGATCCTCTCACCTCGGCCTCTGGGGTAGCTGGGACTGTAGGCGTGTGTGCCACCATGCCTGGTTAATTTTTATATTTTTTTGTAGAGACAGGATTTCAGCATGTTGCCCAGGCTGGTTTCAAACTCCTTGACTCAAGTGATCTGCCCACTGCGGCGTCCCAAAGTGTTGGGATTATAGGCGTGAGTAGCAACCTGCCCTACTAAACCCTTTACATGCTGAGGGTCTGATTACATCCCCTGTCCCTAGGAGAATGGGCTACTTCTTGTTCCTTCTCTTAGAAAGAAAGCGGCTGGGCGTGGTGGCTCACAGCTATAATCCCCAAAAGGGAGGCCAAGGCGGGTGGATCACAGGGTCAGGAGTTCAAGACCAGATTGGCCAACATAGTGAAACCCTGTCTTTACTAAAAATACGACAATTAGCAGGGCATGGTGGCATGCATCTGTAGTCCCAGCTACTCGGGAGGCTGAGGCAGGATAATCACTTGAACCTGGGAGGCAGAGGTTGCGGTGAGCTGAGATCGCGCCATTATACTCCAGCCTGGACGATAGAGCAAGACTGTGTCTCAAAAAAAAAAAAAAAAGAAAAAAGAAAAAAAAAAAAAGAAAGAAAGCTAATAAAGTAATTCCTCTTTGAGTCCTCTTGGAGAATAAAGGACTCACTCTGCAACTATCTTTTAAAGTAGAGCCGCCTCAGACACCCTTAGGGATCATAGCCCGTTCTCTTCCCTCTCACCCTGGTCCTCTGGTAGGGCTTCTCTCAGGGAGCAGGTTTTCTAATGCTTTAATTTTTTCCCAAAAAAGGGGAAAAGCCTCCATAAATTTAATCTTAGCTAACTAGTAATATGGTTTGGCTTTCTGTCTCTTTACCTTCCAGACGTGTTTAAAGTGTTCTATAGGAGTCTCCAGTCCTGTGTAATATCCTGCCCCCAAAGATTCCATGTTCAAACCAATTTTGGACATCTTGTATGTTAAAGGTTTAGAGAAGTCCTGCAGTTAAAAAAAATTTTGTTCTGTTTTAGTCAACATTGCTCAAACATATTTGACCACAATATTCTGCAGAATACATTTTGGGAAATTTCTGCTTATATAACCCTCAGTTTATCAGAAAGAAAACAGTCATTTCCCTTTACCATCTAGATGCAATGGACCCTATAAAATATTTTTCAGTCATTTTACATATAGTTTGTAGAAATAAAAATGAAAGGAGAGTGAAAAAAAAAAAACTCTGCTAGAAATTCAGACACCAGAATTTAAACACACCAAGTCCAGTTTTTAAAATTCTATGTTTTCTTGATTTTGAAGGTGTATATAACTCAAAGTGAACAATACTCTCCAAAGGCAACTAACTTCTCATCAGCTGTCATGCATGAATCTGGAACATCCATCTTAGATATACTGATTCAGATTTCAAACACATCTCTAATTAAATTTCACACTTACCATTGCTTCTGCCTCTTCTTGCACTTGCATTGTCAAAATACATAAAACAAATTTGAAGCCTTCAAAAACAGTTTTGTTAAAGAGAGGATGACCATCTTCTTTGCTTCATAATTGCAGAGCATTTTCGTTTTTAGATTTGTAAACACCGTTTAAGACGATCAAGCCACTAAGTTTTTTATTTCCTTCCAGTGACCTTTGTATACACACTTGCCTTCAACATCTGTTCATTTAACAAAACATATCAAGGAAATTTCAGGCTGGGTGCACTGGCTCATGCCTGTAGTCATAGCACATTGGGAGGCTGAGGTGGGAGGATCACTTGAGGCCAGGAGTTCGAGACCAGCCCAGGCACTATAGAGAGACCCTGTCTCTACCCAAAAAAAAAAGAAAGAAATTAGCTGAGTGTGATGGCTCATGCCTGTAAGTTCCAGCTACAAAGGAGGATGAGGCAGGAAGATCTCTTGGGCCCAGGAGTTTGAGGTCTCAGTGAGCCATGATTGCACCACTGTACTCCAGCCTGGGTGACAGAGTGAGACTCTGTCTCTAACACAAAAGCATACAAGCAAGCAAGCAAGCAAACAAACAAACAAACAAACAAACACAAAACCCAAGTAAATCTCAGTGTACAAACATCATAAAAGTTGAAAAAACACTGCCAGGCATCTTTTTAGCAAATGACATAGTCCAGGTCCTGTTGACAGAATATTGCATAATAAAGTCCTTCTGGTGGAATGGCTAACTGGATGAGAACACCATATTCCCTTTAGGTCTATGGAAATATATCATTTATCCATCAAATTTTGAGTCTCAGAAATGTGTCGAGGATATTGCCATCTGTAGATGTACAGTCTGAGATTTCACTTACACGGTCAATTTCATCATCGTCATTGGTATCTAGAGACCGGCTATCTTTTGGCTTTCTCCTTCGAATTCATCTAACAGTTGTGAAACATCTTCCTATACTTTTTTTCCTCTTTGCCATTATAGGCTGAAAGTAAAAAATTCTGAATTTTCAACTGCATTCAGTGCAAGCAAAAAGCAGGCTACAGAGAAGGTGTCTCTAGTCCTCTTCATACCTTCTCAAAGATGATGCCATACTTCTGCCAAGGCAATAGGAAAACTGAGAATGATGAAAGTGTAATGATTAATCTCACGATCGCATCATTCTTCTAATCTAGGTCATTCTGCCATTTCTTTTTCTAAAAGTGTAGTTTGGAATAATTCATGAGTAATGATGAAATAGCAAAACTGTTTCAAGATATGGAAAAAATAAGAACCCTAAGCTCCTCAGATGTAACTTAGATGTATAAAAGGGTCCAGTGGGTGCATATGGTAATTGCAATATAGAGTGAGTCTTATTTTTTTAGGAAAAATAAGTAATTACTTTTTTCCTTTGGAAACCCTTTAAGAAATAAAAAAATCAAGTAATACGAATCCTTACCAATAGAACTTCTCAAAAAAAAACCCTCAAAAATTGAAATTAGATCCAACAGATCCCGATGGAGTTCGTTTTCTCCATATTTTGACTTGTATAACTTTTTAAACCTTTCTGTAAATAGAAACATGCTTTTCCCTTTTGAGTGATATATGATAAATAAGTGATTTTAAGTAGAACATTTTATAGAGTTTTTTTTTTTTTTTTTTTTTTTGAGGCAGCCTGAGCAATATAGCAAGACCCCGTCTGATCTACCAAAAAAAAAAAAAAATGTTTCTTTTGAGACACGGCCTTACTCTGTTGCCCAGGCTGGAGTGCAGTGGTGCAATCACAGCTTACTGCAGCCTCAAACTCCTAGGCTCAGGCGATCCTCCCACTTCAGCCTCCTGAGTAGCTGGGACTGTACACATGTGCCACCATGTCCGGCTAATTTTTAAAATTTTTTGTAGAGACAGGGTCTCACTACGTTGTTCAGACTGGTCTTGAATTCCTGGGCTCAAGCAATTCTCCCACCTCGGCATCTCAAAGTGTTGGGATTACAGGCATGAGCCACCATGCCTGGCCAAGAATAGTGTATTCTTAATTCATGTATTGAAAGTGTATTTTTGGACAGTCTTTAAAATATTCACGATATTTGTCTTTTTTCCCTCTAAAGTGACACATATCACTAAGTGGATTTGAGATATGTAAGAAAAATGTGATTTATAAAGTAAAAAAGGCAAAAAGTAAAAATAAAGTAAAAAAAGCAAAAAAGTTTGATTTTTTTACTAAATGTATATATTTTATAATGTTATAGCATATAAAAACATGTAACATATATATGTTATAACACATGAAAATCCGCAACTGTTTTAATTTTCCTGACATTTGGAATGCTTATATTTGAGACTTAAATATGTCTATTTTTATAATTTCTGACATTTTATTTTTCTTGAGACCAAGTCTCACTCTGTCACCCAGGCTGGAGTGCAGTGGTGCGAGCTTGGCTCACTGTAAGAAATCACTTGAACTCCCCCTCCTGGGTTCAAGCGATTCTCCTGCCTCAGCCTCCCGAGTAGCTGGGATTACAGGCATGATCCACCACGCCAGGCTAATTTTTGTAATTTTGGTTGAGATGGGGTTTCAACCAACTCCTGACCTCGTGATCCGCCCACCTTGGCCTCCCAAAGTGTTGGGATTACAGGCGTGAACCACCTGACATTTTATTTCTAACGGACATAATCAGACAGGAGATTTCAGCTGTTCTTTTCAAATAATACATTATAGTATATGGATTTTTTTTGTCACCAATAAATAAAAAGCCAAATTAGATAGAATCACCAATATATACATTTTTTTCTTTCAACTTACATTTTTGAAGTACAAAAACTCTGGGTCTGGTGAAAATAATCTTCAGATAAATTTGCTGAATTATTACCATTTTATTTATTTATTTATTTTTATTTTTTTAGAAACAGGATCTCACTCTGCTGCCCAGTCTGGCTAGTTTATTTTTAATTTTTTTGTAGAGATGGGGTCTCAGTATGTTGCCCAGGCTGGTCTCAAACTTCTGGCCTCAAGCAATCCCCCAACTTCAGCCTTTCAAAGTGCTGAGATTACAGGCATAAGGCATGGTGCGCGGCTCATTTTATGCTTGTTGTGAAGTTCCTGTATTTCATCATCAGGGTTCTTATGCTTCTTGTCTTCAGCCAGTGCTCCACCGTGGAAGTAAAATAAGCAATATATGACAAAGACTAACTTAATGAAAGACTGTATATGGTCAAATCCACTGACGGTCACAGGGAGTGAGTGGTTGAGTCACAAGTACGCTCACTCGTTTCTGCAAACAGTCACACAACCAGGACATTCTTAAACAGTTCTGTTTCAGAGGCGGATGATTTAAATAATCAATTTATTTGAGTTAAAAAACAGAAATAGGGCTGGGCACGGCGGCTCATGCCTGAGATCCCAGCACTTTGGGAGACTGGGGTAGGAGGATTGCTTGAGCCCAGGAGTTCAAGACCAGCCTGGACAACATAGTGAGAGTCCAGCTTTACAAAAAATAAAAATAAAAAAATTGGCCAGGTGAGGTGGCTCATGCCTGTAATCTCAGCACTTTGGGAGGCCGAGGTGGGTGGATCACGAGGTCAGGAGATCGAGACCATCCTGGCTAACACGGTGAAACCCCATCTCTACTAAAAATACAAAAAATTAGCCAGGCGTGGTGGCAGGCACCTGTAGTCCCAGCTACTCAGGAGGCTGAGGCAGGAGAATCGCTTGAACCCGGGAGGCTGAGGTCGCAGTGAGCCGAGATCATGCCACTGCACTCCAGCCTGGGCAACAGAGAGAGATTCCATCTCAAAAATAAAAATAAAAAAATAAAAAAAATTAACTAGGTGTGCTGGCCCATGCCTGTAGTCCTAGCTACTAAGGAAACTGAGGTAGAAGGATTGCTTGAGAGCCTGGGAGGTTGAGACTGCAGTGAGCTGTGATCACATCACTGCACTCCAGCCTTCTTTAAAAAAAAAAAAGAAAAAAGAAAAGGAAATGGACACAAAATACCCTTAGTTTTTTTTAGTGATTCAAACCCCTGGGTCACTTTGTTGTTGTTGTTGTTGTTAGAGATGGGGTCTCAGTATGTTGCTCAGGCTGGAGTGAAGTGGTCATTCACAGGTGTGATCATGGTACACTGTGGCCTCCAATTCCCATCCCAGCCTCCTGAGTAGCTGAGCCTACAGTGTGTACCACCACACTTGGTTTCTGGATCGCTTTTGAGAGATTTTGGAGTGTCACTGGCTGAAGGACCTTTGTCTGGCTTGGCAGAGCCTGGCCCTTGGGTGCTGGCCATGGTCTCTGGTTATGTGGGGCAAGCCTGACTCATTCTTCCTCTTTGAGGCTCCTTTGCATAGATTCCTTGCACACATCACTTTTTCATTTTCTATAGCTCAAAACAGATTTCAGTTTCCAAGACTGTAACTCAGCGTATGTGCATTTACATTTAGTTTGGGATATGCTAATGTGGTCAGCAGCACATTTCTAGAAAATTGCTCCCAGTGGCTGCTACTGCAAAGTTAAAGTTCTGATTTAATGTTGACCCTCATTGACCGTGGGCGGGGAGGCTGACATTTTCATCCTCATCCCCAGGATCTTGGAGGAGTGTCCCCTGTGGGTATGGTAGCCTCTGGGGCCCTGAGCTGTGGACAGCGGATGAGAGGTGGAGTGAGCCTGAAGGGCAGTTGTTGTCACACAGAGCCTGGAGAAAGCATTTGGGAGGAGCTTCAGCCCTGGCATCTCCTCTTATCAGAGTTCCTCTGGGCCAGTCAGTGCGCATGTCACTTTCTTGCCAGGTCAGTCAGGCCTGTGTAGACACATCCCCGGCCCCTTTCCTTTGGAGCTGTGGTGTAAGCCCAGAATCAGTTCCCATCCATGGCCAACAGGGTCTTCCTCAGGCACTGGCCCCAGCAGAAGGACATCCCTCTGATCCCCTGCTCTTGGAAAACATCGCAGAGGTGGATGTGCTTTGCCGGGTCAGCAGTGCCAATAATAGTGCTGAGCCATGAACCCAAGGGCGAGCAGGAAAGAAAAGAGGATGGAAGAAAGACAAAGAGGAAATAGTATGGAAAGAGAAAAGAAAACTGAGAGAGGGGAAATGTGTAGAAAGACGAAAGGAAAATCAACATGCCTCATGGGGATGAGTCCTGTGCTGGTGGCAGTGCCTCTCCCATTAGGCACTGTCACTCCCAGGCTGGACTCAATCTCTCTCTGTTTTGCACAATGAAGATTAGGCAGAATGTGAATGGCATAGCAAGTGAGAGCCTGCTGACGTGGCGTGCTCTGGGGGATCAATGCCCATGAAAGAGAAATGTGACTACATTAGAAGCTCTGCAGAGGCAGATATTCAGAGCTTGTTCATCCCCGTACCCCAATGCCCAGGAACAGTGCCTGACACGTCCTAAGCACATGATAAATATCTGTTGAATTAAATCGAATGTTAGGTGAATGCTGAAGAACGAAGTTGGATCTGCTATTGTCCTCGCATTCTCATGGATCTAAAGGTGAGTTCCTCTACTCCTCTAGGCTCCCATATTTAGAGACTACAGCTCCATGTCTACCCTTGACTTGGAGCGATTCTCCCCCAACGAGGAGGACACACCTGGGGCAGCACAGGAGGAGGTGGCTGCAGCCAGGTCGGTGGACTGGGCCCGACACAGGACAGACAGTTTCGTTCGTCTATGGTGCCGCTGGGGCTGTACCTTTTGGGTTGCTAGGAGTCAGGAATAGCATGCGAGCCCTGGAGGGAGGGGGATGGAGATCTAGAATAAAGGCCCTGTGCCTTGGACCCATGCAGCATTTAAATCGTCATTCTGTTGTAAAGTAGGTGGCGTTAATATTTCTCAGGCGAATTGTCTCCCCCATGGGGAAGCAGAGCTTGGGCATCAAGCTGTGCTGAGTTGGGTGCTGGCTCCTACGCTGGGAGCCCCGGTGTAGACTGGGGAGGGGGCGGGGCAGCTGGAGGGCTCCAGCCATGTTTCTGCTATTTTCCACCGTAACGCTGATGGGAGCAGGGCTGTTGTAGGAGTTCCTGGACAAAGCTAGGCAGGAGTCTCAGGATCTCTAGGATGCAGGACAGGTTTCTTCCCCTCGGGTTCTGTCCATGAGCAGACCAAGAACCTTTCAAATGACAGTGGTCACATTATTTAGTCTGAAACTGGGGTTTCCAAAAAGCCTGATTCCTTGTATAAAGTCAAATCAGCAAAAACCCACTTGGACTAGGCTGCATACTTGGCATTTGCAGCCTCTCCCTATTGATGAATTCAACCTAACTACATGTTTTAAACACATTCTACATTCAGGGATGCCATGAACAGATGTGCAGGTTGGGCACTGCACAAAGGTGCTTGGCTTAGCCAGGAGTGTGGAGTGTGTGGGGGGAGTGGAAGGTGCATGGGTGCTGAAATACAGATTGTGCTTCTCTGTTGGATGTGCTCTGAGGGTTGCCTCCACCAGGAAAGAGGTGACTTTTTCTTCACACAAGGGCATAGCTCCACAGAGCTGTCATGCCGGCTGGTAGGCACTATACATGTGAGGGGGCTCCAGCTCTTTTCCCCAGGCTGTGTGCGTGTTGGGGATATGAGAGTGAGGAAAACAGATCTCTTTCCCTCCAATTGCAAACAGACTCCTAGAAAGACAGGCACCTATACCAACAATTGCAATCACACCACTTCTCTTTTCCTTTCCTGTAATATTCCTTTCTGATTTGTTGGAATGGTAGCCAGCTGTTAGCAACCTTGAAAAGGGGGCTGGGCGCGGTGGCTCACACCTGTAATCCCAGCACTTTGGGAGGCTGAAGCGGGTGGATAACAAGGTCAGGAGATCGAGACCATCCAGGCTAACAGGGTGAAACCCCTTCTCTACTAAAAATACAAAAAAATTAGCCGGGCGTGGTGGCGGGCGCCTGCAGTCCCAGCTACTCAGGAGGCTGAGGCAGGAGAATGGCGTGAACCTGGGAGGCGGAGCTTGCAGTGAGCGGAGATCGCGCCACTGCACTCCAGCCTGGGCGACAGAGCGGGACTCCGTCTCAAAAAAAAAAAAGATAAGGCTACAGTGCTCTTAGGGAGGACCCACAATCTCTGCGAAGGAAGTTTCCCCTTGTTCCCCTTTGGCAGGAAGTAGAAGCCCAGCTGAGGGACTCAGCAAGGGGTCCTTTCATCCCATAGGCTTGTCCCCTAAGGATACATCCCATAGGCTTGTTCCCCTTTGGCAGGAAGTAGAAGCCCAGCTGAGGGACTCAGCAAGGGGTCCTTTCATCCCATAGGCTTGTCCCCTAATGATGTGAAGTCATCACAAACAGGCACAGGTGGGACAGGATGCTGAATCCCAGCTCCAACCATGGGAAACATTGTAACAGAGGACAGGTAACACGTGACAGCTCCCGGCCTGAAAGGAAACCCAGTCAGCAGAACTTTCGTTCATCAAACTAAGAGGGATGTTGTGGGTGTGTCTGTGAACATACTGCTTCGAGGCCAAGGCCGCTGCTCTGTTGGCCTCAACCCCATGGACAAGGAGGATGTGAGCTGGGAGGTTCCTGGGTTGGCATCCAGACTACTGGTCCTTGCTTCCACCTGGACCTGTGCATGGGGGAGCCAGGCACTGGCCCAGATACCAGCCTGGCCAGGACAGCCAGGAGAGGTGTGGCAGCCCCACCCCAAACCCATGGGGCCGAGTGGGTGGGTCAAGCTCTGTGGGCACATGAGACATTAGCCAGGCTGGCAAGACATTGGTCAGGAATCACCTACTGGGGACCTGAGGGGCTTCAGGGACCCCCCTGATCCAGCACCCTAGAATGCAAAGTCTGTCAAAGATTGAATTCCTCTAAGCTTTTTTTTTTTTTTTTTTTAAGACAGAGTCTTGCTCTGTCGCCAAGGCTGGAGTGCAGCGGCACCATCTCGGCTCACTGCAAGCCCCGCCTCCTGGGTTCACGCCATTCTCCTGCCTCAGCCTCCCGAGTAGCTGGAACTACAAGCGCCCGCCACCACACCCGGCTAATTTTTTTGTATTTTTAGTAGAGACAGGGTTTCACCGTGTTAGCCAGGATGGTCTCGATCTCCTGACCTCGTGATCCGCCTGCCTCGGCCTTCCAGAGTGCTGGGATTACAGGTGTGAGCCACCACGTCCAGCTGAATTCCTCTAAGCTTTTTACTGCCCATCATCCCTATTAAAGAAGGAGGGAAAATGTCTTAGCTTCAGCTGCTGTAACAAAGTACCAGAGCCCAGTGGCTTATAAACAACACGCAGTTCTTCCTCACAGTTCTGGAGACTGGGGGTCTGAAATCAGGGTGCCAGCATGGTTGGGTTCTGGTGAGAGCCTCTTCTGGACTGCAGATGGCACATTCTAGCTGTGTCCCTGCATGGTGGGAAGAGAATGAGACTCCTCTCTGGGGTCCCTTTGATAAAGGCACTAATCCCATTTGCAGGGGCTCCAACCTCAGGACCTAATCACCTCCCAAAGGCCCCACCTCCTAATGCCATTCGTTACCTTTGGAGTTGGGTTTTTTTCAACATAGGAATTTTGGTTGGGCTGTGGGGAGCATAAACATTCAGTCCATAACCGAAAGGAAGTCAGCACAGATGAAATGTAACTCTGCTCTTTCACTTAATTCTCACAGCAAACTGGCAAGGGAGGCAACGTGACTCTTCCTATTTTATGAGGAAAAAAACGGGCTCAAGAGGTGAAGGAATGCTTTCTGGGTTAGAGAGTTAACCAAAGTAGAGTTAGGGGCCCAATCTAGGGTGTAGATGCCAGGCCCGCCTGTCCCTGCAGGGAGCAGGCAGTGACCTCCTCTGACGGGGCCAAGTCCCCTTTTCTCCTTGGTCTGAGGAAGGTGGACGATGAAGAAACAATATCACACGCTCTTCACCCTTCTAGACTCAAGCCAATTTCCACCTCTTCCATGAAGCCATCCCTGATCCCCCAGCTCTGAATCATTGCTCAGCCCTCCACGCTGCCATACATTCTAGCAGCCCCTTTTATCCTGCTTCCCCTACCAAAGAGTGAAGGACCCAACTGCCCCTTCTTCAGCAGTCTCTGTAAACCTTAGGCCCTGGGACGCTGCCCTGCTCTTATTAGGAGTGGAGCAGTGTATTAACAAGGGGATTATGTGCTGGCTGCTGGACTCTGGTGAGCAGAGAATAGAGCTGAGGCTGCCAGGTGTGTGCACACCTGTGCCACGGGCCTGCCCCGGCAGCTGATTTACAGTGTCGGTGAGGAGATGCATCCCCATGAAGGGAAAATCCATCAGATGGTAAATACTGTTTTGAGATATTAGCTCTCCCAAGCTAATTAGTTCCTTCCAAGCCCACCTGGGGTTTCTGAGACTTCTGGTTGCCTCCCCTGCTGGCGTTTTCACTGGGGGAGGGGCACGGTTTGGAGGGGGAGAGCTGGGGGAAACATTTCCAGTTTCGTCCCAAGTGTCTAAGCTATATTCTCTGTGGATTCCCTTCTTCTTGCCTATTGGTAATCCATCATTTCCTTTCCGGTAGATAAATAGCTATTCTCTGACATCAACCCACATTTTTCTGTTCACTTCTGCTCCTCATAGTCATGGCATAAACCTGCACTCCCAAGCTCTAACTTGGTTCTTGATGTGTGAAGGCATCCTTCAGAATTCTAAGAGAAATCTCTTTCTCAGTGCAGCCTGCCTTTTGCAAATCAAAAGTGCTTTGGTTTTCAGACTATTTATTGTTTCCGCTAGAGATAGACAAAGCCTACTTGAAAGCTGGGAAATGAAGAACCTGAAGTTGGTGTGCACAGTGGGTAGGAAGTGATCCTGCCACCTTGGGGGCTGGGCTCAGGCGGGTTTGTCACCAGCAGTCCTAGGGCCACCATTCATCTCAGGCTTCATAAATGTGTTCATAAATGTGAACAGACTTGGTAAATGCGACAATCTCTGAGCAGTAGTGTTCTGAGGAAGGGGAACGTTTTTCTGAATTTGCGAACAAGCCGGTGGGGGTCTTTGACAATGGGTACAAGGAAGTAGAGGAGACAGCAACCTTTTAATGCCTATTGACATCCCACTATAATGAAGCAACATGGGGACACAAAGGCAGGGAGAAGGATGGGGTTGCAGTTGTTGCAGAGTCAGGCAAGGTTGCCACAGGGAGGGAGGGACTGGAATTGGGCTTCGATGAGGCGTTGAATGGGCAGATCAGAGGGAGAGGCATTTTAAATAAGGTGATGGTGGGGACACAGGTATGAGGGACGGACATTCATGGAGTGGCAGGGGACAGCCTGATGGTGTTGAGGGTTGGTGTTAGAGAATAAGAGAAGAGTGAGTTGGTAGATTTGGGTCCTTGAAGGTCAGACTGAGAGGTGGTTCAGTGAGCAGTGAAGGACCCCGGAGGAGGACAGCAGCCTTCCAGAGGGAGGCGGAGGGCAGAGTAGAGGTGAGGTGGAGGGCAGAGTACAGGTGAGGTGACAGAGACCCGGACGGAGGCTGGAGAGGAGGCCCTTCTGGGCTGAGGCCAGGCTGGGTGGAGGGCAGTGGGTGTGAGAAGGAGGAGGTCAGAATGAGGAGACATTCAGAAGGGGAATCAACCGGACTCTGGGGCTCCTTGGAGACAATGAGTCTTCACATCTGTGTGGCTGGAAGCTGATCAGACTTCACCAGGAAGGGGGGCCGTGGAGGAGACCCTGTTGGGGATGCATCGGTGGGACTTTAAGGGTGCAGTGTCCAGTAGGCAGCTGGCTTCGGGAACCTGGAGACTGCAGCAGAGTCAGTGCTGTGTGCCCGCCCAGGGGCTGTTTGTGCAGGGCGACCCGGGCCCGAGGTGAGGCCTCAGGGGACAGAGGCACCTGGAGAGAAGTGTGGAGCAGGTGTGACCTGGGAAAGCCCGTGGCGGGGGCCACTCCACGCAAGAGCAAAAGAGCTTTGGAAAGGAAGCATTGCAGTGGTCATATGTGCCGCTCTGCACTTGTTCAATGGGCTGGTGATTCCTCATTGTTCTGTGATGTTGGTTTCAGTTTTGTAATGAGTTTTCATGAAAATAACGAGCACAATGAAAGCCCACATCCCTCTCAAAGTAGCGGAATGGAAAATAGAACTCTGAAGAACCAGCTCTCTTGACGTTCTGAGGCCCAGACATTTCTCTCAGGGTTGTAGAACAACCTTGAACCTGCGTGTCTCCCTGACCCCACCGGACACCTGCCCCGGACCTTCCTAACGTCTAGGGGGTGACGCACCTGAGTGGAGATTCTCCATGCAGCACCAGGGATTTCTGCCATCGTGGACTTTTTAACAGGTGTTCTCAGGATGAGGACTTTTGGGGTGCACCCCCCACCGGCAGCAGTTGCGTTTCTGGGCTTGAGATTCAAGGCATGACTGAGCAGGTGGGGGATGATGCTATGCATTTTTTGGCATGAGGTCTCTTTCAAGTAAATGAAGAGGCCATTTCAGAAACACTGCAGAGAGAGAAATGTGAGCACACATTTTCTGCTCTGGCCACCATGATTCTTTTGCATCTCGTCACCATTTCCCTGCACTTATGCCACCCCCTTCCCCAAGCTCCAGGGCCCACTAACTGTGAGAACAACGAAAAGCATTAGCTATGGACTCAGCATGCTTCCTCCCCGAGAGCTCCCGACAGCCAGCAGAAATCAATAAATTAGGATAAAGAAAATGACATTTAGCTTTGTCTGGGCTCTCCTGTCTGTATGATTTTGCAGGCTTGGTGTGGAATGAAAATTCTGTTTCCTCTGCTCCCCTCCCCTAAACCTACAGACTGGTCTTCCTGCTTCCCTATGAGTGCCTGCTTCAACCCAGACAGTTCTGACACTTTGACTTACTGATCAACTTTTTTTTTTTTTCTTAAACCACAGTTTAAAAAAAGTCAAACACACACAGTCACGGGAAACAAAAACACACAAAACAACAAACCCTGTTTAAGAGCTGAGTAAGCACTAAGGCATGCATTCCCTCCAAGAGCAAGGGCCAGGATGAGAATTCTCGGTTCAGCTGACTAACGCAGCTCACATTTTAATAGTCTGCAGCTCTTTCTAAGCTGTTAACACTTTACTGTCTTAGAGGATGTTTGGGCTGAATACCTCCCATAGTTCTTCCACTGAGACATACCTTCTCCATGGTAGAGAAAAGCAAACAGGAGTGTTGTAGAGAAAGATGAGTCAGGGGCCAAGTGGGTTGGTGCCAAGACAAAGCAGGAACAAACCAGTGTTCTGGTGCCTTCCGAAAGGTATGTGTTTAGCTCCCACTGATAAGTGAGAACATGATATATTTGGTTTTCTGTTCCTGCATTAATTCGCTTAGGTTAATGGCCTCCAGCCACATCCATGTTGCTGCAAAAGACCTGATTTCATTCTTTTTTATGGCTGTGTAGTATTCCACGGTGTATATGAACCACATCTTTATCCAATTCACCATTGATGGGAAACTGGGTTGATTCTGTGTTTTTGCTATCATGAATAAAGATGGGAACAATAGTCACCGGGGACTACTAGACCAGGGACAGGGGAGGAGGGGCAAGGGCTGAAAAACTACCTGTTGGGTGCTATGCCCATTACCTGGGTGCCAATCGTACCCCAAAGCTCAGAATCATGCTATATACCTTGTAACAAACCTGCACAGGTACTCCCTGACTCTAAAATAAAAGTTGAAAAAGAAAAGGAAAAAAGGAAATGTATGTATGTGTCTTCTACACTTGACTGGTCAGCCAGGGCTGTCCTGTCCAAGCCTCTGTTCTCATCTCTCTCTTCACCCTGACGGCCACGACACGTCCAGAGCTGAAGAACAAAGTGTGCTTGAGGTCGTCTTGAGCGCAGGTTCCAAGATGATTGTTAACACACACAAAGCCTTCCGGACCCCAGCAGAAGGGTGACATTTTCTTCTGGTAGAGTTTGTAATTTAAGATAAGGCAATAGAGCCCGAAGCTGGCAGTGTGGTGTGCACGCCAGCCACATAGCAGCCTCACTTCTCGAGAGGAATCACAGTTTCTGTTTCTAGGTCTCTGGATTTGTACAGCCCAGGCCAGACACTGTGAGGATGCTGGATGGAAGTCTCTGTATAAGGGGCCGGTCCCGGAAATGAGTCCGTCATGTCTGTAGAGAGGTCACCAACAGCTGCCGGATATTGTGCTGCCTCTTCTGGTGGCACACATTTGCTTGGAGGAAAATGCACACTTATTTTAATATTAGATAAAGAGGAGGAGTTCTTCTCCACCAGTGAGCCCGACTCCAGAGAGTTTCTGGAGCCTTGAGGATGCATTTGTTGAGCACTTAGCAAGGGGCTGTGTGCTGTTGGCAGTGGACAAGGCCAAGGGCCTTGAGGCCTCTACTACCTAGGGCAAGGCCAGCAGATGTCTTCTGCAAAGAGCCTGATAGTAAATGGCATGGCTGTGTTCTAATAAAACTTTATTTACAAAAACAGCTGCTGGCCAGATTTGGCCCATTTGTTTGCTGCCCAGATTTTTCCTCTGAGCTTCTCAATGGTAAAAACAAATTCTCACCCGTTTTTTGTCTTCCTAGTGCCTAGCACGAGGCCTGACCCATGGAGGGCCTTCGGTGGCATGTGCCGAGTAATACTCCGTAAATGTCTTCCAAGGAAAATGCTGTGGCTCTCTAAGTAGATTTACAATTTGCAACTTGAGCTGCACTTGGAGTTATGATGCTAAGTTGTTGAAAGGACCGTAGCATCGTGTGTGTGTATGTGCACACACAATGTGCACACGCATCTTAACTCCCCAGGTATGTGGGCAGTGTACAACCCAATTCTGTTGGTCTTTTGACTCTTTCCTTTCCTTCTCCTTCTCTGTTCTTCTCTTTTCTCCTCCTCTCCCTTCTCTTGCCTCTTTCCCTAAATATTCATTATGTACTCTCTGTGTACCAGGTACTATGCTAGACACGAGGGATGTGAGGAAGAGAATCAAGACCTAATGTCTGCCTGCAAGGAGCTTATAGTCCAGTAGCTGAGCTGGCAAGGAGAAAAAAATTCTTGCCCAGGGAGCAGTGTGCACCAAGGGTGCGTTGCACTATGCTGGGGAAATGTGTTCATGGGGGTGGTGCATGGAAGCATGAGAGACAGAAGATATTTGCTGGTGGGGAGGGCGGGCAGAGACACTTTGTGCAAGACGATGCAGTGTGTTTGGGAAAGGTCAGGCATTGGTGTAGCTGGGGATGAGGAATGAGATGGGCCTGGGCCAGCAGGAGGCAGGATGAGGGGGAGGCCCGCCAGGGAGAGCCACTGAGGGGTTTCAGCTGGAAAATAAGGTGATCAGAGCTTCCTGTCTTAGACGGATGCCCTGGTGGTTTGCTGAGGATGGACAGAGAAAGGCAAGCCTGCAGGGTGGGTTGAAGAGCACTGCAAGGCCAGATGGAGGTGCTGAGGTCAGGAAACGGTGCTGTCACCGTGGGGATATGGAGGAGTGGGTGGGAGCAAAGACCTTACTAAGGTTGAATCTAGAGGACTTGGAATCTACATAACTGGTAGTAGACATTTTGAAGCAAAAAAGTAGGTAAGTTGAATACGTGCAGGGAGTCAGGGAGAGAAGAAAGATAAGAACAATACATTTGGGAAAGAAGTAGGGGGAGGATGAGGAGTTGAGTTGGGGAATGTTGAGTTTGAAAATCTATTGTCCAGTAGGATGTTGGGCATTTGGATTTGGTGCTCACAGGGGAAATTTGTGCAGAAGATATTGGCCGTCAAAAGCAGCAGGTGGTTGGAGTTGCAGGATGGAGGCACCCTCTCAGGGAAAAGGTGGGGGGGTTGGCGAGAGAAAACTCTGGGCAGCACCGTCACTTCCAACAGCCATGGGCCATGATGGGAAAGTTCCTACTGGAGGGAAAGCATGGGCAGCATCATCACCTCCAACAACCACGGGCCATGATGGGAAAGTTCCTACTGGAGGGAAAGCGTGGGCAGCATCATCACCTCCAACAACACGGGCCATGATGGGAAGGCTCCTACTGGAGGGAAAGCATGGGCAGCAACACACCTCCAACAGCATGGGCATGATGGGAAAGTCCCCACTGGAAGGAAAGCGCAGGCAGCACCATGGAAGGAGAGCAAGGGCCCTTTTTTGAGGTTGTCTGCATGTTGCTGGCACAGAAATTAATCGCCCTGGCTGAGGAGAGCCTCCAGTGGGAGGCGAGCCCTTGGATTGGGAAACCCATGGACAGAAGGAAAACAGAAGACCTTGACCATAGATTCCAGGTGTTTCTTCCTTCCAGTAATGATTCCTGGTCTGGGTTAGCAGTGGGCCTCTGTACATGCCTCTTTCTCCCTTAAGCAATAAAGGAATAGGGCTGTCGTTTTCCCAATGTTGAACCAAAGTGTGTGTTTTGGGTCATCAGCCCTGTAGGGAAGGAGAAGCCCCTGAGTGCCTTGCCCTGCCTTGGGGAGGGTGCAGCTCTGGACACACAGGGGTGTCCACTTTAGTTCTGCTTTTTCAAACTAAGGAGTGAACTTAACAGCCTTTGATAATTGTCTCAGCTTTTAAGCCATAGATTAAGTTTGAAAGCCATTCTGCAAATACATGGTCCTGGGTGATTTTCTGTTTATAGGACCAAGGCAGTAACGTGTGTCTACTGTTTTGATAAATCTTTCTTATGAAAGTCTGTGTAATTGGTTATAGACATTTTGAAGCAAAAAAAGTTGGTAAGTCCTCATTAAAGGAGGAGAAAACTAAACTAAATAGACAATACAACGCTGAGGGAAAGGAACTGGACCAGACAATTTTGGAAAAACATGATGCAGGGGCAGCCTTTGTGTGTTTAAATAAATTTTACTGAGAAGACCAATAGTTTAAACAGGTAAGTACTGAGAGAGCCTTTCCCTGGAGGTCTCCCTTCCCCATCCCACCTGCCACCTCCCCTCAGGAGTTACCCGTGGGCCTTTGCACCCTGTACTTGGTAGAAGTCTATGTCTGTCCTGCTAACTTTCCCAAATGCCCAGTGAGCATTATCTCCAGGCCATTCATTGACATCTCTCAACCTAGACGAAAACTTCTGACACATGGCACGTTAACCTGCCTGCTTCCGTCTAAACCTTGCATCACAGAGAGACTCATTTGTTTCTAAGGAACATTCCAGACAATGCATTTTCTGGCCTGGGACTTGGTTGACCTCTGGCTTGAGTTGACCTGAAATCCTGTGTCTGCAGGAAACAGTCACAGCTCTGGGCTTTGGGAGGAAAGAACCCCAGAGACGCGTGCATGCTCTTTGGGTATGTGGATGTTGACAGTGGCCTTGGCCAGGTGCCCTGGGAACTCCGGGCACATTTACATGCTTCCTTGGGTGGAAGAGAAGGAGGACAGAAACAGATCAGGCAGGTGGGGGCTCCTAGGGACCTGAATCTGGAGAAAGAGTAGAACTTTTAGCTCTTCAAGTCTTCCAGAGACTCAAGGGTCAACACTCAAAAGACACAAATAATTCGTGCCAGTAAACTTCACTAATTATGCGACTCCTGACAATTCTACTTTGGAATTTGCTCGTGAAAAGAATGTCCTAACTTAATAACGGTGGATGCAGGAACTCAGCTGGATGATGACATTCATTCAGAGGCTAAGGTCCCACTGAACCACTCGGGGTCACCTCTCATAGTCTGGCAGCTAGTCACAGCCTAAAGATAACAACAACGGCTTTACACGAATTATCGTTTTGAGTCCTGAAATCTGTGTGCACTGTCACCAGCCTTGAGGATGTGCAACAGTGATTCTAGTTAAGTGCTTGCTCACAGGCACTCACTGTGTGTCTTGCACTGTGTCACGCTCTAAGCGTGTTCAATGCCTCATCTCATTTAATCCTCACGACAACCCTGAGAGGTAGATGCTCTTGTTTCACCTGAAACCAGATAAAAGCCATGGTGGGCATTTATTTTTTGGTGGAGACTCACTGCAAGATGGTTCTGGTGTAAGCCACAATCTGGGTTGTCTCAGCAGGCCCTGGGACCTGGATGGAGCACAGGTGTCATGGACCCACTTTCTTTCCCAGGAACTGGAACAAAGAAGGCAAGAACATACAGGCCGCTGGCTCCTGGGTGAGCACAGGTGCGGGGTCCCGGGCTATGTGTGTGCTCACACCCTTATAAGCATGTCCTCAATAGTGCTGGAAGGGACCAGTGGCCCCTGAATACAAACTGATCTAGTCTCCGAAGGTAAAAAAGGTGAAAGACAGCCTCGGATGGCCAGTGTGGCCACTGCCTTGCTTCCCTAACCTGCCCAGTGTTGCTCTGTCCTGAGGAGATGCCGTCACCTACCCAGGTTCCAATCTGTAAAGAGACTCCCAAAGAATTCAGAAGTGAATGTCACCCACCAAGCCGCTCAGCTGAAGGGGGCTGTTTCTGCACAAGGTCCCAGGACAGAAGGAGGTAGCCTGACCTGCACTGGCTGCTTCTTTTATTTTGATTTTTTATACATTATTTTTTAATAGGGACAAAGTCTTCTATGTTGCCCTGGCAGGTTTCAAACTCCTGGGCTCAAACAATCTCCCACTTCTGCCACCCACAGTGCTGGGATTACAGGCATGGACCACTGTGCCCGGATCGGCTGTCCCTTTTGGGAAGCTGGAGGGAACTGAGGTTCTGTGTGAGCTCTGCATGAATGGAAGGGGCTGGGAGGAGGCGTGGCTGTGGCAGTAGCAAGTGGCAGTGGTGAGGGCTGAGCAGGAAAGTGCTGTGGGGTGCTAGGAGAGGGGCCCCCAGTGGTGCCAGCTGGAGGAGGGTCCAGCAGAAAGAAGAACGGCTGGGTGGGGTGGTGGTGAGCCCAGCCTGGTCAGACCCAGAGAGAGGTGGCAGCTTTGGTCTCTGGGGACATGAAGCAGGGAACACCTAACTCCTCTGACAAGTACGCCTGTGTATCAGAAAAACTACTAATTTTTATGTGAAATTGGGTCAAATGTGGGTTTAAGACATTTTAGGCCAGGTGTGGTGGCTCACGCCTGTAATCCCAGCACTTTGGGAGGCCAAGGCGGGTGGATCACTTGAGGTCAGGAGTTCAAGACCAGCCTGACCAACATAGTGAAACCCCATTTCTACTAAGAATACAAAATTAGCTGGGCGTGGTGGCAGGCTCCTGTAATCCCAGCTACTCGGGAGGCTGAGGCAGGAGAATCACTTGAACCTGGGAGGCAGAGGTTGCAGTGAGCTGAGATCATGCCATTGCACTCCAGCCTGGGCAACAAGAGCAAAACTCCGTCTCAAAAGAAAAAAAAAAGACATTTTATAAACCCAGGAGGATGAAATTGCAAAATCCTCAAAGCATGTTTCTCTCTCTTCCTGGCCATAGCAGTGGGGATAAGACAGGCAGAGAACAGGAGTGTGTCTATGTCCAGAGCTTTCTTCTAAAACGTTTCTGCACCACTCCTTCACAGCAAGACCACACAGAAAGAGAGAGGCACGAGGACTGAGGGATGTGCCCTCAGGTTACCTTGCATTTGGCGGGGTTCTAGGTTCTTGGGTTCAACTCCCAACTCTGTCTGCTTTTCTGTGTAGGGCAATGATCCCAGTAGAATTTTTTCAGTATTCAGAAGGAAGTGAACTTCCAGAGGTAAACAGAAAATAGCTTTTGGCTGCAAAAGATAGGAAGGATGTTCTGGCTTTGGGCTTCCAAGCCAGCCAGCACTGCTCCTGGGCCTCAGGGGGAGGGCAGGACATAGGCCTGGCCCCAGCAGCCAAAAGAAATGGCTCCTCCAGGGAGGGGCAGCTGGCATGCAACTCGGTGGCCACATGCGTCTGTGAGGCAGGACACTGCCTGGAGCTCATGTGGGCATTAAGACATGGGGAGAGTCACCTCCCTCCCCGGTGGTAGCAAGCTGTCTGCAGTGTGCGTCCTGAGTGATGCCTGCCCGGAAGGGCGAAGGACTCTGTTCGGGGAATTCGCTGTGTGTCTCTCAGGCTACGTCCCGGGTAAATGTGCCCGAGACCAATGGAGCATGAAGGTGAGGAAAGAGGAGGCAGAGCTGCCCAGGTAAATCAGAGGCCAGGGCTGTGCAGGATGGAGGGCACCAGGCGTGGGGGGCCTTAGTGGCCAGGAAGGCCTGCAAGGGAAAGGCCAGAAGCTGGAGGGCAAGAGTAAGGGGGGCAGGAGCAGGAAACGCAGGAGTGTCAGGTGGGTGCAAAAGCCTTGGCCCCGAGGTGGAGGGTCTTAGAAACCAGAAACAGGATATGAGAAAGGACGGAGGGGACGGGGCCTCTTTTCCCCCAGAAGGAACAATGGTCATTCTTTAATTGAAAGCTGCCATTCCCTGAGAGAGGAAAGGCCTCTCAGTGTGGGGGAGGGGGCCCAGGGACGGGAAGGAAGGGGCCCCAAGCCTGCCTGACCCAGAAGAAAGCAAGAGGCCTCTGGAATTGCATTTGGAACTCGATACGGCCTGTGAAAGGGACAGGCAAGCTTGCACTGATGGCTTTACCGAAGTGTGACTTTCCCAGGCGCCACAAACTTAGCCTCTGCCCCCACCCTCTGTGGCCTCCTCCAGGACTCTGGAGCTGCAGGCTGGGTCGGACGCCTCAAAGCCGTCCAGAGCAAGGGTCTCACAGGCTGCGTGGTTATGCGGTTCTGTAAGACTTGCCATCTACACACACGGGAAGAAGGATTTCCCAGAAAAAATAGAGGAAGCTGGCCAATACAATCAAACTCACACAAACCCCGCCTCTTCCCAAATAGACGCCTATCTCCAAAACAATCAAAACTGCCCCATTAAATAACACTTGTTCAGTACAAAGGAAGTACAGCATGATGGGAATCACACACCGCTTCCAAGTAAAACATTCCCAATTGTTAGGCATGTAACAATGAACAAAAAACTTAATGGCATTCGCACGGGAGAAGCACAGTGCTTGGGGCAGGCCCTGCAGGACCCTTGAGTGCCGGTCGTCCAGAGGGTCAGGGGTGGTTCTCCCCGGGTCGGCCCCTGGGAGAGGCGTGCTCATCACACACAGGTCCTCACCTGCTCTGCAGGCAGCGACCTGGGCATTTTCCATCTTACCTACCTCCGGTCTCGGCCCTTCGGCCCCCTCAGTGGGAGGCAGGCCGTTTACCCACTGCAATTGGTGGCACCGAAGACTTCATTTGGCAAGGAGAATGGTCACAGGGCCCAGGGCAGCTGAGAGGAGGGCACGTTCTTCAGTTCTGACCGGAAGGAGGGCTTGGGGGCCCTCAGTGACAGCAGTGTTGTCATTTGTATGGACCGACTGTCTATGTCCCTGCACCAACCCCAGTTCATATGTTGAGGCTCCAGCCCTCCATGTGACTGTGTTTGGAGATTGGAGCTTTACGGAGGTGGCTGAGGTTAAGCGAGGTCATCAGGGTGAGCCCTGATCCGATAGAGTTGGTGCCCTTCGACGCTCCTCTCTCTCTCCACCATGTGAGGACACGGGGAGAAGCAATTGGCTGCAGGCCAGGGGGAGCCCTCACCAGGGCCCCAATCAGCTGGCACCTTGATCTTGGGTCCCCCAGCCTCCAGACTGCGAGAAAGAAATTCCCGTTGTTTAAGCCACCCGGCTTGGGATAGATTTGTGATAGCAGCCTGTCTTAGTCCATTTTCTGTTACTTATGTTGAATTACCTGAAACTAGGTAATTTGTAAAGTAAAGGATTTATTTTTTACAGTTTAGAAGGCTGGGAAGTCCACGGTCAAGGGGGCACATCTGGTGAGAGCCTTCTCTGCAGCGCCCCACAGCAGAGCAGGGCTTCACACGGTGAGGGGGCCGAGCGGGCTTGCTCAGGTCTCTCTTCCGCTTCTCATAAAGCCACTGGTTCCCCTTCCATGATAACCCATGAACCCATTAATCCACAAATGGATTAATCCATTTATGAGGGCAGTGCTCTCATGACCCAATTACCTCTTAAAGTCCCCACCTCTCAATACTGTCATATTGGGGATTCAGTTTCAACATGAGTTTTGGAGGATATGTGCATTCAAACCATAGCACAGTCTTAGAAGACTAATACATCATCCAATGACAAATCTGAAAGCCAAAAAAAGACAGGAAGTCTCAGGGGACAAGAGGACCCTAAAGGCCATCTCAGGCGTCTGCCTCTCCATCCGGTGATGGCTGCCCTTCCAGGCCCCACCAAACATTCCCCTAGGGACCTGGCAAGCTAATTCGCTTGGCGTGTGTGTATGTGTGTCAAATTTTATGGGTTTTTCTTTTCTTTTCTTTTCTTTTTTTCTTTCTTTTTTTTTTTTTTTTTGCTGTAGTAGAGGAATAGAAGCCCACGGATGTCCACACCCTTCTTTATGCCTTCATTCTGTCTTTTTTTTAGAGACAGAGTCTTGCTGCGTTGCCCAGGCTGGGGTGCAGTGGCACGTCTTAGCTCACTGCAACCTCCACCTCCCAGGTTCAAGTGATTCTCCTGCCTCAGCCTCCTGAGTAGCTGGGATTACAGGCGCTCACCACCACCATGCCCAGCTCATTTTTGTATCTTCAGTAGAGATGGGGTTTCACCACGTTGACCAGGCTGGTCTTGAACTCCTGACCTCAGGTGATCCATCCGCCTCAGCCTCCCAAACTGCTGGGATTATAAGTGTGAGCTACCTCGCCCGGCCCATTCACTCTCTCTTTTTGTGGGGTACCCCTCATCTGTGGGCTAAAGTCAGGTGTGACCCTACCCCGGGTCACGTCATGTGCGACCCTGGGAATCTTCAGGCAGGCAGTAAACAGCAGGGAAGGGATAAATTCTTAATAAACTGAATCCTGTTTTTATGCAAATGTGCCTGCTATTACAGAATGAGAGTGCAAGAACTACAGAATATTTATGACAGAGAGAAGCAGGCCTGTTTGGAAACAGACGTTTTATTAGGTTCCCGTGAGGCACCAGCTGCTCTTTCAACACTTCTATTTCGGGGCTTTATGTAGAAAAGTGATCGCTCTATAAATAGCAGGGCAAACAAAGTTAGGAAGGTGGCTGTTGACATGTGGGGAGGCTGAGGCCCAGAGCCAGAGGACACCGTGTGGCTCTTTCCCCCAGCCTTTAGGAGTGTCCAGGCTAGACTGTCCCCCAAGAGTGATCAGCCTCGGCGACTCAGGAGTTCCAAGCTCTTCTCTTCAGCACCTCCTCCCAGCCTGCTTCTGTCTACCTCCCATTCTCCTTACGCTTTTTCATCTTTCCATTGTATTCTTTGTTTTTTTTTTGGGAAATAATTCATACCTTGGAAAAGTTGCAAGCATAGTATATCTTTCCTGTGAATTTATAAATGAGCATTTTGCTTTCTCTCCCTCTAGGTATAGATATTATTCCTGTTTTTTGCTGAATAGTTTGAGATTAAGATGTAGACATTATGGCTCTTCACCCTTAAATACTTTAGCAACTCCTAGGAATAAGGACTTTCTCTTACATAACCACAATATGTTTACCACACCCAATATTGTTGTCTAACATAAAGGCCAGATTCACATTTCACCAAAGGTCCCAATGTTATTCACTATATTTATATGTCCTGTAATCTGGAACAACACTATAGGCTTTCTTGAAATGTCACCGCATTGATGTTTGGATCAGTTAGACTCTGACAGAGAAAAGCAGAATGCTTATGAAGCTAAAGGAATGAGAGATTGATTAGAGGGATGCAGGCTTGCCCCATCATGGGAGAAGCTGGGAAGTCAAATCTGGGAGGACACTGTGTGGGGATCAGAGGCAAGTGTTTGCTTGGGACCACCCAGGGGAGCAGGTGAAGACACCTGTGGAGGGCTGTTGCCTTTGATCCAGGTGTTTGGCCTGAGGTCTCTACTGTAGGTCAGCAGGGTGAGTTGTGGGGAGGAGAGAAGAGGGAAAGTGGAGCCTATGAGGACACAGTGGCCATCTCTGTCCTCACCACATTGGTGCCCCCCACTACAGAGCTGCACCCACACCCGATCCAGCACTTGGACTGACCCAGGTGCAGGTGCACCTGAAGCTGAAGACGAGGATGCATGGAAGCCAGAGGTGATGCCAGGCCAGCTGTGGCTGATGGCATGGTGACCCAGCGGAGAGTGGCGATGCATAAGCCTTAGCGAGCCCCTCCTGTGAGCCCCTCCACCTCTGCCTCCCAGCTCTTGTACATATTTCTCCCTTAGCCGGTCCTAGCCATTTGTCCTCCAGTGAGAATGAGTCTGATAAATGCAGGATGAGTGGACATCTTTGTAAGTTCCCTTCAAGTCTCAGCTCACACGTCAAAGGACACGCTCCCTGGCCAGGCAGAGCCCCAGCCATGCACCCACCGTACCTCACGCTGCCCTGATCATGCATCCTTCATCTTATTGCAGCTCCTGGTTCTCTGTGGAATTGTGAGCCTTCCCCGGGAGGTCAGGGCCCAGTCTGTCCTGTTTACAGCTGTATCTCCAGGATCTAGTCCAGTGCCTGGTGCAGAGTCCTCACTCATAAAATAAGTGAGAAATGAAAGGATGGACCGCTGGCTCTGCTTTTCTGAACACCATCTTAAGGCTGCTTGGGCGATGACTGGTGCTTTTTGGTTCTCATGTTGAGGAATGGCTTTGTAGGCAGGATCTAGTGGATTAGACCTGCCCAAATCTAACCATCTTCAGTGGCGACTTTGTTTTGGGACAGAATTGTTGGAAGGAGGCAAGGTGAGGGTGGTGGTGGGACCCTCAATTCCATAGGCCGATCACTACTCGGGGACAGTCTGGCCTGGAAACCCCTAAAGGAGGCAAAGTGGGGGAGGTGGGGGGTGTCCTCAATTCCAAGGTACAAAAGGGCCAATCAATGTAAGTATGGCTTAAACAAGATGGGAGTTTATTTCTCCCACATAAACCAAGTCCAGAGGGAAGTGATCCACCAAGTCCTCAGGGGCCCAGATTCCCTAGATCCTCAGCTCTGTCCTTGTTAAAGTACCTGTCTACAAAGCCATTCCTCATCCTCGTGGTCGGAGATGGCGGCACCCACATTTCAGGCAGCAGGAAGGAAGAGGGGACAAAGAAGAAACGCCAAGTGCAGCCACAGGGCACTTCAGCTTACTTGCTGCTCCCTAGCCCTTACTACATGGCCACATCTGGTGGCAAAGGAGGCTGAGAAGGTGGTGTTTATTCTGGAAGGCCGTATGCCCAGGTAGAAATGCTGCTGCCATGGAGGAACAACAGAACGGCTTTGGCGGGCCACCTGCAAGCAGTGCCCCGCTGTGTTTTGGAGAAGGCCCTGCGGCTTCCTTCTCACTCCCTCTTTCATATGCAGAATGGGCAGGAGGAGATCGGAGGCCCCCCGGTCCTGTGTTCTCACACCAAGGAGGTGAGGATGATCAGCTTCAGCTTTTCCTAGAAACGGGGCAAGTTGGTAGCCACGTGTTGCCATCGGATTATTTGTACTGAAAGGCACGAGCTTGTCCATAATGCAAATATGAACGAGGAGGGAGTGGTTGGCATTTAAATACATTGGAAAAAAACTAAATGCAACAAAAACACAACTACCCAAAACCCAAGGGAAGTTTATTATGATTCAAAGGCCATGGTGAGAAGAGAGAGAAGCCTGTGTTTATATGGCCACGGGTTTATCATGGCCGATATGTGGCCATTTTTGCTGCATTGCAATTGAAGAGTGCATTTACTCTACGGTGGGAATCTTAAATCTCCTTTCCAAAGCATGGGTCTCCAGGGAGAGTGTCAAAGGCAGAGAACTGCTCCCAGAGGGCAGATTCGAAGCTACTTGTAGCCGAGTTTATTTTGTTTGATTAAGAAATGCCCAGCCGAACATTTCCTCCTGTTCTCATGCTTTTGGACTCGAGTTCGTAGAGAGTGAGTTTGCCTCTGGAGAGCACATCCAGGGAGATATGAACAAAGGATCCTCCCTGCCGCTTGTCCCTTTGCTGCCCTCTGTGGGGGGGTGATGGCTTTGGGGCCCAGGTGAATCACCCTAAATTCCAAGTGGTCAGCGAGGGGTTGGGTGAGGTGAGGTGTGGGAGAAGCGAATGTCGTTTGGTAAAGGAGGTGCAATGTGCCGTTGCCTCAGCCAAATTCCACTTGAAAAATGAAATGCTGCTGTTTACTCAAATCCTGGGGGCCTGGGCTATTTTTATTCCGGCCATTGCCACTGTTGCCTGGGAGCTGGCATGCACAAGTGTGTTGGGCATTGTGCTGGGCATTGGCAGGGTTGGGGCTTGTCTTAGTCCATTTTCTGTTGCTTATATCAGAATACCTGAATTTGGGTAATACATTCCTTTTTTTTAAAAAAAGGAATTTGTTTCTTATAGTTATGGAGGCTTGGAAGTCCCAGGTGGAGGGGCCGCATCTGGTGAGGGCCTTCTTGCTGCTGGGAACTCTCTGCAGAGGATGACGTGTGCAGGGCATCACATGGTAAGGGGCTGAACGTACTAGCTCAGGTCTCTCTTCCTGTTCTTAAAAAGCTACCAGTTTTACTCCCATGATAACCCAATAACCCACTAATCTATTAATCCATGAATAGATCAATTCATTCATGAGGGCAGAGCTTTCATGACCCAATCACCACTTAAAGGCCCCACCTCTCAACACTGCCACACTGGGCTTACATTCCAATATGAGTTTTGCAGGGGACAAACACTCAAACCATAGAAGGGCTTATTTTATTTTATTTTTTTTAGCTGTATCTCCTTCCCTCTGAGCCCTTATGCTCTTTGGCAGGTCAGAGAGGCAAACACAGGAATGTGATACAAGTCCTTCAACGAAGGGAATAAAATAAAATCATTAGCAACCACCATTAATTTTGTGCATACTATGCTCTAGGTCCTGAAGACACAGGTCTCAGTTCACCCTCTGACAACAACCACAAAAGGCAGAAATTGTTTTCTCACTTTGGAGATGAGGAGAACGAGGTGGTGGATAGAATGTGCCTTCTGGTCTGTGTATGATGGGATTGGGGGGTTGGGGTGGGACAGTCAAGAGGAGGAGCAGCCTAGTCCATTAACACTGTCAGTGGCATTTGTGCAGGAAAGGGAAGACGCTCCCCGTCAAAGGTGGGGGCTTTGAGGGCTGTGATGGGTGGAGGGCAGAGCGACATCCCAAACAGTGTCTCCTCCGCCTTCCACACACAAGGCAGCCCGGGGCAGCCCTCCGCCTTCCACACACAAGCCAGCCCGGGGCAGCCTCTCTACCCTTAGAAGCAGCCACAGTGCTTGACAAAGGCCCTCTAGCTGGCCCAGCCCCTGGTTTCCTGTGGTATTGTTTATGCCAAGACAATATTAGCACTTTAGCTTTGGGTTAGAATAAAGAATTCACCTTAGAGTGTGAGGTCTCCTTTCCTGAACGTTTCCCTTTGAGTTCACACCACCAGTTTAACCCTTCATCATTTAGATCTGTTACTTTTTTCATGTCTACTGGTTTCTTATGCTCTGGAGAGGAGGAGGCACACAGTCCCCAAATCCTGTGCCTGGTATAGCACCAACAGCAGAGAGCAACAAATTCTTATAGACCGATTGATAGATTTAATAATAAAAAAAGTTACTTCCTTACCTTGTGGTGTCATCTACAAAGCAGCATCTTTGTTTTTTTCTTTTTTTCAGTTTTAAGTTCCAAGATACATGTGCAGTAAGTGCAGGTTTGTTATATAGGTAAACATGTGCCATGGTGGTTTGCTGTACCCATCAACTCGTCACCTAGGTATTAAGCTCAGCATGCATTAGCTATCCTTTCTAATACTTTCCCTCCACCCCACTCTACCCCCAAACAGGCCCCAGTGTGTGCCGTTTCCCTCCCCATGTCCATGTGATCCCATTGTTCAGCTCTCACTCATAAGTGAGAACATGTGGTGTTTGGTTTTTCTGTCCCTGCGGTAGTTTGCTGAGGATAATGGCTTCCAGCTTCATCCATGTCCCTGCAAAGGATATGATCTCATTCTTTTTTATGGCTGCACAATATTCCACGGTGTATATGTACCACATTTTCTTTATCCAGTCTATTATCGATGGGCATTTGGGTTGATTCTGTGTCTTTGCTACTGTGAATAATGCTGCAGTGAACATACATGTGCATGCATCTTTGTAACAGAATTATTTCTATTCCCCTGGGTATATACCCAGCAATGGGGTTACTGGGTCAAATGGTATTTCTGGTTCTAGCTCTTAAAGCAGCATCTTTATTTCAATAATGATTTTTTTTCTCCTGTAGCTAAAAAATACATGAAACAGTACATCTTTTGCTTTTGCTGAGCTATTCATAGCCCCATGTATTTCCTACTACACCGGCCTGTGTATCTCCCATCCTAGGAAATAGATTCATGTAAGCTGTGGTTGCACTGAGCCACCACCACACAGACTCTACCCTGTTGCATCCACAGGTACAAACCAGTGAATACTCATTCATCAAATAATTATTTTTACATCTCCATGCATGAAATAGCTGGCAAGTTCTGTCCCAAGAAGCCTTTGTTTCAGGACTTTCCCACATTTTCTTCCAGATGTTTTCTTGTTTCAGTGAATCAAAATATTTCTAATGTGGCTACTATGTCCTACAAGCAATATCGAACATGTATAAATCATGGTCCCTGCCCTTAAGGAACTTACAATCCAGTTGCAACTTATAATCTGGTTGTGAGGCCAAAAATAATCAAGAGCACACAAAATAACCGAGAATCATAAAGACAATACAATATCAAGACCTCCGTTGCAAACTGCAGGTTGGAATCCACTGGTGGGTGGGTTGTAAAATCAGTTTAATGGGTCACAGTCAGCATTAAAAAAATAGCTAGAATAGTAGAGGTCAGAGTATATCCAATGTAGTAAGAATAAGGACTCTTTTGTGAAAATTTCGTTCTGTCTTATGTGTAAAGATAATCTGTTTCTGCCCAAGTGTGGTGGCTCACACCTATAATCCCAACATTTTGGGAGGCTGAGGCAGGAGGATTGCTTGAGGCCAGGAGTTCAAGACCAGCCTGGGCTACATAGCAAGACCCCATCTCTACAAAAAATTAAAAAATTAGCTGGGCATGGTGATGCCTGCCTGCAGTCCTCGCTATTCGAGAGGCTGAGGTGAAAGGATCGCCTGAGCCCAGGGGTTTGAGGCTGCAGTGAACTATGATTGCACAACTGTACTCCAGCTTGGGTGACAGCGTGAGACCCTGTCTCCTAAAAACAAAAACAAAAACAAAACCAGGATAATCTATTTCTTACTGTGGCTCATGGTGAAATGTTTGAAAACTTCTGATAGCAGGGCCTAGCTTGTGGAGGAATGCCATATGAAGGATTCTTACCTTGTGTTTGGGCCATGGACTCTTGAGAGACATTTGAAAGCTACTGGGAGTCTCTCCATTTCTGGCACACATATGCCCGGCATTGTGCACATGATCTTGGTAGATCTTGATGGACTTTGCAGCCTATTCACAGTCCTGGTTAAATCCCTCTGATCTGAACCAGGGAGAAAGAGGAGGCTGGAGGAGATAAAGGACTGATATCTCCCAGGGTCTTGGATTTCTGATGAGGAGCAAATGCCATCCATCTCCCATAGGAGATCAGTGAAGGCTTCCAAGGAAGGGAAGCTCACTATAAAATTCATATTTTAGAAAGATTGTCCTGGAAGCACTTAGAGGCCAGAAGTCCAACTTAGAGGCTATTGTCACAGGTATGTGAGTCATGGTGGAGCCCAGGTAGATAGGAGGGCACAACTGTGAGAAGTTTTTAGAATTAAAAAAATCACTGGACTTGGTATTTGTTTGGATATGGGGAGAAGTGAGGGAGGAGGAGTTTGGGGTAGCCCTTGGGTTTCTAGCTTTGAGTGGACAGTGGTGTTAATTGCTGAGTCTGGAATAAACCTATAAGGAGGTTTGTGGAAGAAAAGGAGGTTAGTTTTGTAGTTAAGGGATTGCATGGGTATATATCCAGTAGCCCAGTGTATCCTCCTAGCATTCTTTCTGCAAATAGAAGACTCTGTGACACTAGAGAGCAACTGTCAAGTTAGGGTGGGGTGGGGGGCCGAGAGGGCTGGAAGAGGAGGGGGCTTTGTACTTCGTTTGCCTTTGTGTTCTTTGGCCAACAGTTTGGTGATGGCCACAGGAGTCCCTGAAAGGCTCTGAGAGCTCTGTTCGCAATAGAAATGGGAGGCGAGGTGCATTGGGGTGAACTGGAACAGAGAGCGAATGATTCTTGAGATGAAGCTGGAGCCTCTGGAGGCAAGGGGCCTGCACACACAGACTGGCTTTGGAAATATAGGAGAAGGCGGCCTCGGAGGGTGCTGGGAGGAGACACGTAACAGCCACAGTGGAGAAGGCCCAGCAGGCAGCGGCGAGTGGCAGGGGACTGTGTGTGCACATCCAGCCCCACTTGGGTCTGCATTCGGTGGGTTTAACAGCCCCCCTCCATAAGCACCTGCCAGGAAGGGCCTTAACCTTAGCATCGTGTTCCCGGCCTGTGTCCTGACTGTGGCTTGCTGTGCTTCTGATGACCCAGCCACCGAGCTCTTGCTGATGGTCTGGCCCTGAGCCCTAGTGCTTGGTGCTGTCCATTGGTCCTGACCCCTTGCTTCCCCTCTATCCCCTGCCTATAGACCCACATTTGCTCTCATACCCTAGACTGAGTTTCCTCCAGTCTGTCTGGGTCACACCTTGTCTCATCCAGGGCCCTGCCTAGCCTGGGCTCCTGTGGCCTCATTTCTGCTGGATTCCATTGAGTCTACCAGCAGGAAACAGACCCAGGACCTCCAAGCCTGTTTCAGGCTCAGGAACCTGAACTAACGATGTCTGTTTCAGCTCTAGAGGAGAAGATTGCAGTCAGGAACTTAATGCTCTTTCACTCTTGATACGCACTACTATGAATCTGGGTTAGAGTCCAATTTGTATGTGATTATCTGGGTGAACTCCTTAACTGTTTGTAATACCACTAAGTATTTCCAGATGTTAGCACGACACGCATACTGTGCTGCTGTGATGGGGCATTAAGTGCTGAAAGTTTTTTTTTTTTTTTTTTTTTTAAGTAAGAAAAAACACATACAGGGAAATTAAATCTTCCACCATAAAGATCCTGCATTATTTGCCAACCACAAGAGTTTTTCCTGGGCCGGGACCTGTGTCTCCTCCCAGCACTTATTCCAGCTGCTCAGGCATTCTGTGATAAAGTTACTCATTAGCTCCAGATACTAGCATTACCAGAGTCCTGTTCAGCGGTTCAGTGATTTGGCACCCAGAAAAAAGCAAAGGCAATTTCCGAATTCTAGCAACCCCCCCAAATAGAACCAAATAATAGTCCTGACCTCATGAGGCTCTCATGAAACTTAAAGGAGACAAGGCGTAGAAAGCACCCAGCACAGAGTCTGGCATCTACCGAGGTCTCTGTCGAGACCGGCTCTCCCTCTCTTTTTTTTTAAAGAAGGCCATGAAATACCAGACCAACAGATTTTCACATCAGCTGGGACAGTGCCATTGAAGCCTGTGACATGGGTTTATCAGTAGTTGAGAAATTGATCAAGAAGATGCTATGCAGGAAAAGAAACAGTTAGAAAAAACAGGAGTTGTGGAGCTAGAAGACTTCGGTTTGAATCTTAGCTTTGTTTCTTCCTACCTTCTCAGGCTCAAGGTGTTTTTTTGTTTGTTTGTTTTTGTTTTTTTCCTGCATTTCTCAGGGCAATGGTTTCATTTTTCCTATGTAACTTTTTCTTTAAGATGAGAAACAGGTCTGATGTTCCAAAGCTCAAAGTTTCAAACGCTGGAATATACGGGTGTCCAGGGAGCAATGGAAACAGTGGTCACAGTGCTGGTCTGGGAATCTGAGTGCCTGATCCCACCAGAGGACTTTGGAAATGTATGGTTCTGTACTTAGGAAGCGGCCAGCCTTTCTGGAGATGGCTGTGATTCTGGGAGAAAACAGCTGAAGAAATATAATGGTTAGGTCAGGACCCACACCCAGGCCACCAGGCTGGCGAACCCCAAGGCCAAGTGTATCCTTTGCTGGAAAATGAATTCTCAGGGAGGAAGCATGTGGTTGGATGATGTTCCTTCTTGTCTTCCCAGCTTGTAGAATCAACCAGATGTTTTTCCACACAGAATGCTAGTTCTTTAAGACACAGGCTGGGTGACATGTTTCCTTAGAGTGACAATATTTCCTTATAGTGACATTTTCCTTGACTGGCTCCATGCAGAATAGGAGGATATAGAATAGGAGGAGAAGGTTTCTGCTGTGGCACCTGGAGTGGTACTTGGTGCACGCCAGGTGCTAGACAATGTGTGTGACAAGGATGCACGTGAAATGCCCCCCCCCGAGTGCCTCAGTGACTGCAGTAAAGTGGCCCTTGTCATGGTCCTCTTCCTCTTTCTGCATTCAGTCTTCATGCTGGGCGGCATGAAGAGAGAAACAAAAACCACCTTTCTTGCCAGGGTCTTAGTACCATTTTGCTGCTCTTATCTTTCAAGTAAGGGAGAACATCTAAGAAACTTATCACCGTATTCATTCTAGACTGTTAGGGATTTAACTCTTCACCTACTTCCCTGAGTGGTCTGGGCTGGAGGTTCAGAGCTAAGTGGGCTGGGTGTAAATCAGGATTCCGTCCCTCACTAGCTGTGAGGCTGTGGGTAATTCACTTCATCTCTCTGAGCCTTCATTTTCTCACCTGAAAATTGGGCATGCTAATACTTTTCCATCTCCTTCCCAGGGTTCACAGGATTAAATGAAATTATTAACACAAAGTTCTTGGCCTGGTAGGGGGCATGTACGTGGCCACCGTCCTGGTGCTGGACACTGGGGTAAGAGTTTGGAAGTTATTGGCTGGGCAAGGTGGCTCACGCCTGTAATCCTAGCACTTTGGGAGGCTGAGGCAGGTGGATCACGAGGTCAGGAGATTGAGACCATCTTGGCTAACACGGTGAAACACCGTCTCTACTAAAAATACAAAAAAAAATTTAGCTGGGCGTGGTGGCATGCGCCTGTAGTCCCATCTACTCGAGATGCTGAGGCAGGAGAATCGCTTGAACCCGGGAGGCAGAGGTTGCAGTGAACTGAGACCACCACTGCACTCCAGCCTGGGCAACAGAGCAAGACTCCATTTAAAAAAAAAAAGTTATTGACATGATTTTCTCTTTTGCCTTCCATCGTCTATAACCTTTATGCCAACTGGCTGGTGCTAGAGTAGAGAAAAAGATTAGGATTTGTTACAGAACAAAGCTCTCCACCATTTGTTTATCTCATTTCAAAACAGGGAGCTGATTGAAGGCAGCCTTAGAGCTTGTATTTTAGACAAGGAGTGATACAATGTTTAGCAGGGATGCACTAAGCCAGAGCCGGGGGAGTGGTCTTCCCTGGAGCAGGCAATAACAGGATGCATTTTCTGCAGATAATTTTAAAACAAGCGTAAAATCAACCAAATATTGAGTCTACTTTTTATTATCACCAAACACAAGCAGTGTTAGATAATACCTGTGATAAAAGTCATCTTGTGCAAAAAGTTATGCTCTAAATTCTGAACAATTGATACAGTTACTGTTGAGCTGTAATAAAATAGGGAGGTGTCTTAGCAGTTTCTAAATGTCTTCTTTAATAAGGAATTGTATTCTCTGCGGAAAGTAACGGGAAGTAATTTGGAGAACATTCAGGTATGCGGGTTGATTCTCCCAACACATGTATCCAGAACTATGTTTCATTTTGGGAGTGAATTTGTAATGAACTGGAAGCATTAATTCTGACTGTGGGTGTAGTTTATGTCTTCCATCCCTGGGTACAACACATTCCTTTACAAAATGGTATATCAATTTAATAGAATATGATTCAATTGCCAACAAAAATAAGGTAGATTTATACAAACTGATATATACTATAATAGAGTACCTATGGTACAATCTCCAATATATAGTGTTAAATGAAGTTAGAAACCTGCCGAACATTTAACAATATTTTAAAAGGTGATGTGTGTGCATGTATATGCGGGTAGACATACATACACACATATGCTTTGTACATGAACAGAATATTTTTCAAAAGACAGATAAAAATTTCTGTGGATTCAGAAGGAGGAATGATAGTTTGTAATTGTGAAGACAAAAATATAAACTTAAACTACTTCAATTCCGTCAGTCTGCATCACTGCTTGAAGATTTTGTTTATGTTAAAAATTTAACACAGTGAAGCAGAGTGTGAATTGCAAGGTGTAATATTTTTGTTTGGTGAGTACAAATTTTAGTTCATACGTAAAATATTTTTCTGTGTCTGAATAGTATTTTCAACGCTGGCATTTATTTTTCTTTCCAAATTTTTAATTGTTGATTTTAAAGATAAAGAAAACATCAAGAAAGTAATGGCCATGACTGATTATTATGTGATCTTTACGTGAATAGTTTTGTGGCATGCAGAGGTTGTTAAATGTTCTGCTCTGGGTGTCCGATTCGCTGTGTGCCACGGACTTTTAATCAAAATTTAAAAAATGCTTTTCAGGCATTCTTTTAATTTTATCCTCACCAGATTTGCTTGGAGGAACAATTTAATCAACATTTGCAAATCGGTCACCTTTGGGGTCATGCTAGAAGGCTTTGAGTGATTTCAGGAGCACCCACCTTATTAATCCTACCAATGTCATACGCAATCCCATTTCCAGCAGCAGCAAGGAGCTTCCTACTTACTGATACTGTGATTCCTAGAAAAATATTTTATTCTGTTTTTTAGACATGGGGCCTCGCTATGTTGCCCAGCCTGGAGTACAGTGGCTATTCACAGGCACGATCCCCTTATTGATGGACATGGGAGTTTTGACCTGTTCCGTTTCCGACCCGGGCGGGGTCTGTTCACCCACCTTAGACAAGCTGGTGGTCCCTGGCTCCCAGGAGGTCACCTTAGTGATGCTGAACCTAGTGTGGACACCTGATCAGCACAGCGCACCGCAGCCCAGAACTCCCGGGCTCAAGCGATCTTCCTGCTTCAGCCTCCAGAATAGCTGGGATTACAGGCATGCACCCCCATGCCCGGAAAAATTCCTTAGAGATGAAAGCCTAAACATGTAAATGCTGTTGAGGCAGCATCTTAGGCGGCTGGAAGCTCTGCCAAAGGAGCAGGGAACATCACTGCTGGGTGGCCCTCTCTGTTTGAGTGAGGGGAGAATCTGAGGAGCCCACCAGGGAAGTCAAGATCCCGAAGTAGGGCAGGGAGCTCTTCCCTGGTGGGAAAGTGGGTACGAGAAGAGGAAATCAGGAGTAAAGCCTCCAAGGACCTCTCTCATCTTCCTAAGGTAGATCCTATTTCTTCAAGTGGGCAGGACTGTGCTTTGGCCATGAAATTGAAGGCAGAGCCACTTCACACAATGTATGGCAGGTCTTTCTTCAGCCCCTTCCCTTGGTGAGTGGTGCATCTACGATTATAAAGGACCCCTTCCATCTACTTTCTGGAACTGTATTAGGAAAGGCATCGTCTTGTAGCAAGGCTTCCCAATGGATGGACTGAGGCCTGTGCCAAATGCATTTCAGCTGTGCCAAAATTCTGTGACTCCCACCTCCTTGGGGCCAGCAGCAGCCAGAAGTCCTGGGCCAATCACCTGCTTTGAACAGCAGCCTCCCATTTACCCCTGCGTGCCACAGAAATATTATTTTATACCTGTGCCATTTTGTGTAAAAGGTTGAGAAGAACTAACCCCAGGGGCAAAGACAATACTATACCTACTGTTTGGGAGAAATGAATCTGTTATGTGTAGATAAGAAAAAGGTGGTCTGACCTGTTTCATTACTTGGTGAAAATGATCTTTGGTGGTGCTATTGCTTCCAGATGAATTTGAGTGTTTTGCAACCTGGCATCCTGGGGGGTGTGTGTGTGGCTGGCTGAAAATGCATCCCCTTGTGATGTGAAGCTCAGCTGTTGTTCCCCAGCCTGGGTTGTCATACTGCCTTCTGCTACCCCACACACCTCTTCACTTTCTCTTGCTGTGAAGCACTCACAGATACAGCAGCTCGGTTCCCATGGCGGTCCTTTTTCTTCCAGAAACAAAGGAAGGGGGGACTTTGGTGCCCTGTGATGCATGCCACCTAAGGGATATAATAATAAGATTTTTCAGGCCCCTGTTTCTGGAGTGATGGCACCCCTGTGTTTGAGGGTGATGGTGACAGTTTACAGTTGTGTCGAATTGTGACCTATGAGTGAAATCCAATTCAGTATCTCCTTTTGGGGGATGTACAGCTGTTGATGAAACCATCTAGACTTCAGTCACAATCTGTTGAGGTTTCATATTCTCTTCTCATGTGTAATGAATAGAAGAGTGGAAGCTACAGCACCCGGGGTGGCTTGTCAGGTGCAGAAGGTCAACAAATGCTGATTGAATGGCTCCTGTGTCAGGCACCGAGCTACGTGCTGGGTACGCAAGACTTGTGAGAAAAGTTCCTACAAAGGCCAAACGAAATTTCTGTAAACAAAAGCTGAAGGTGTTCTGAAGTCATCTAAAGGTGGTTACTTAAAGGAAAACGGATACTGCCTGCCCTCCATGTTTGTGTGTGTGTGGCCTCATCCTCTTCATACTGAAGGGTCTACCTCTAACATATGCAGAGCCCAGGGCAGGAGTGCAGAGAAAGTCCCTCGTTTGCCCAAATATACAGAAATATCAATCAAGCTTACAAAGAGTTAGAAAAAATACAGTTTGTTCTCATACTTCAAAAATATGCATAAAGACAAAATTGAAAAATTAGGTAAAGCTATAGTTTTTACATGATCCAAAGTTAGCAGATATAAAAAACGACTGAATCAATTATTGCCATACAGGTTTAAATATTCTTTTGTTTTGTTTGAATGACTAACAAAATAAAGACTCATAATTTATAACGATCATATATTTACTTCCTTAATTTTTTTGCCTTAATTTCATCGTGATCACAGATTCTGTCATTACAATGAACATTTTTACATAATTTTGTTCTATTGATAGCAATGAGCTAAAGGATTTTAAAAATGTAAATGTATTTAAAGTATGCAAAATTTGAATATATTTTCATCAAAAATGAGAAAATACATGTGAAAACATCAAAGAGGCATTTTCTCATATCTATTTTCAAAGAAGTTATTTTTTCTTGTAACATTAACATGAAAAGTCAAACGCAAAATTACAAATTATAATTAATAAGTGTCAAAATGGTAAATAAAAATTCTTGAAATAAAACTGACTTTTAAATTTGATTTTCTGTAAATGAAACAAAATCTTATTAAATACTTTTGTAAGTCATACTTCACATTTCTAGCATTCAATTTCCATCCAGTTGCCAACCTAAAGAAGCTCTGTTTTACATCATGCATGGGTGCATGTAGATCGACGTAGATACTGGCTTAAGAATAACAGGAATTGTTAAACGTTGCACGATATTCCTCTGCTACCTTGTACCATTGTTGCAAATACCATGTTACTTCTTCAGTATCTCCAGGAACAGGAATCAGAGCAGGAAGAGAGGTGGGGAAATGGGTGAACCGCTCCACTGGGAAACGATTATTCGTTATGCAAGAATCTGTTCATTCATGGTATCCGAGGGAAAAGGTCATATGAATTTGTCTTTTCTCTCACCCATATTAGTCAGCAACTCAAATCATCTCCCACTCCAAAACACTGTCCTCTCCGACATCAGCAGCCACAGTGCAGTCCACAGACCTCCATGGCACCTGGAGGGAGCGGCTTTCCTTAGCCCTCCCCACAAAGACATAGGGCAAAAAATATGGGGAAGCCACGGAGAAGGGTTTCCTGGCTACAAGAGTGGATGTTTGGGATTATGAGTGCTGGATCCCAAGCGACTGAGGGACCTCCGTGAGCATTAATGAAATGACGTTTTTTTTTAGCCGGGCGCAGTGGTGGGCGCCTGTGATCCCAGCTACTCAGGAGGCTGAGGCAGGAGAATGGTGTGAACCCGGGAGGCGGAGCTTGCAGTGAGCCGAGATAGCACCACTGCAGTCTGGCCTGGGCGAAAGAGGGAAACTCCTTCTCAAAAAAAGAAAAAAGAAAAAAAAAAAAGAAATTACATTTTTTTGTTTGTTTGTTTGCATTTGTGACTGTGGCGCTGTCTAAACCATCTCAGGGGAGGAGTCCCTTTTGCCTGTGTCTCCTGAGAGTGCTGACTACTCATATAGAGCAAGACCCTGCTGAAGAATAACCACTCGAGGCTGTCTCTTTTTACCTCCTGGTAGCGACTTATCCTTGCTCCAGGGGTTCTGGATGAGGCATCCTTCTTAGACAGAAGGGTGCTTTTAAGAGGCATGGGCGGCTCCATGGGTCACTTCTGTTCCAGTTGGTTCCTGAAGTGGTGCAGAGTTGGAGTAAAGGCTGTGTGGTCAGTTGGCCCAGACTAAGAGTATCCTTTTGTAGTTGGCATAAGGTTGTAGCACGTGCAGGCCTGAAACAGCTGCAGTCATCTCTCTGGGAAGCTTCTGTCCAGGCACTGTCTCAGGCTGGATTGCACTCTGTGGGCCCTGTCCTGATTGGGTCTGACCTGTGTCTGACCCTGTCTTTGCTCTCACCGTGTTCCTGATCTCACTTATTTGCTGTATCTTCCCCCAGGCCCTGTGCTGCATCAGTTCCCCTCTACCTGCTCACTTCACCTGGTCCCCTGATTCTCTCCTGGCTGACTGTGGCCGCCCCAGTAGTATTTTTCCCCTTCCCCAAAGACATAGGACAAAAGATATGGAGAAGAGGTTTGAGTTTCTTGTCCCTGAGGGTCTGAAAATGAGACCCAGAATGTGATCGGCATTCCCATATAGAATGAGCATACAAACAAAAATTTTCAAAAAGTGAATGTGTGAGTCGATAAGGCCCATGCAGCATTTTCATGGTGTCCATGTTACAGAAGGGTCACCACTAAGATTTCTACAACCAGCGTGGCAAGATAAGGGCTGGCCCAGATCACCCTGGCAAAATCTCGCATTTTGAAAAAGTTGGAAGACTCTCACAAGGAAAACCCATGACTGTAACGACGCCCACGATTCATCGATCCCCTCCATAAGTTGAGCTTTGAGCCCGGTGAAATTAGGTATGTCTAAAAACACATTCAGAATGTATTTAAATTGTGCTGTAATGCGACTGTTCTCAAGGATCCCCGTTTCTCTGGTTTCACGGATGTTTTGGTTGGATTGCATCTTGAAACTGCCTTAGCCCAAAAACATCTTCTTGCAGAAACAGCAGGTTCATTTCAATTCAATATTTCACTTTGGACGATTGCTTGACTTCATTGAGCGCCGCATGCTGAGACTTGGTCTCCCCGGGACCCACATGCTTCCTTCTCATTAGCATCGGAGGGAGCCTCGGCAGACAGATTGAGGCCAAGGAGAAGGCGGACCCCCACGACTCTGCGCCATGGCAGCGTGGAGCGTAGCTGAGCAGAAAGCTGGTGCACGCTAATAGTTGTAAATGGTGTTTTGCGAGCCATATGCTGCCTCTGATTGTATTTACATTGAGACACACAACATCTTGTTATCAAACAAGGCAAGAGGCAACACTAAATGGTAGGAGATAGCAACCTCAGTGAATGGCGGCGGCTTCTCCATTGCGCGCTGGTGCCCGGATGTTTAGTCTGGCAGAAATTCAGATCAGAAGGTCATTGCTGGGAAGTGTGACAATGCCATGTGTCCTGGGCTGACAGACTGCTTTGGAATGTAAGAGGAGGCTCTCTCTGCACCCCAAAGCAGAAGAAGATTCAGGATTCTGCTGCCTGGCTGAATTTTTCCTCTAGGAACTGTTTGAGGCCCTGGGGCTGAGCCCAGTGTGAACCCAGTTTACCCTCAAGTGCTTTTCTGGTTATGCACCTTATGAAGCTGAAACTCTGGGCATGGGGGTGGGGGTAGGGGGAACTTCAGAGGTTTATCTGTGAAAAGATGTGGCTGAGACGGTGCAACACAGAGGCTGACGTGGAGGCCAGGCGGTGTCTGTGCAGGGCTGGTGCCTGCTTTCCCAGGTGGGGTATGTTGTCATCCTGCAGTCATGCTGGGCTCTGGAGAGCAGGCGTGACTGTTTGCACTGTGGCTCTGCCTGAATCTGTGTTTTGTGGCTCTGGGAGGCACAAACTCCCCAGGTACAAGTTATGTAGAACTGAGGTTCCAGCTCAGGTTACCTGTGGCACAGGTGTCTCGGAAAGCCCTCCTCCGGGCTGAAGGCAGCTGCTCCTGCCCCAGCAAGTGGAGCTGGTGAGAAAGGACGAGAGGTTCTTTGTGTCTTGGTGAAATCAACCTCAAAATCACATGGATTGGGGAGCAGCCCTGCCCTTGCCAAACTCCTTATTGGGAAGGTGTTGGGGTGTTGAAAATGTTCTTTCCTGTTCAGAGGGAATGTTAAGGCAGAAGGGGAATTTCAGCAGGTGACACGGCAGAGAGGGGTGGACCTTCCGGTTTGTGCTGGTTGTCACTGGGCAGACACATCGTGGCCGTCTCATGAGCCTAACCAGGGAGCTGGACTGGAAGGCTTTAAGGATCTGCTCTGAACCCGAGATTTTGTTAGGCCTGTCAGAGGGTGGGCACAGATGGAGTCTTCTGGGAGACCTGAGTTCAAGTCCCATCTCCCAGTTTCTTGCTCACTGTGCCTCCTGAGGCAAGTTACTTAACCTCTCTGATCACAGCTTCCTGATTCCTAAAACAGATGGTTGGTATGAAGAGTAATCTGGCTCACAGTAGGTACTTAGTGAGTAGTAGTTGCTTTTCCTTCCTCTCCTTCTTCGAGTTGGCAGGGCGCACAGGCAACACAATACTTCCGCCTCTAAAGTGCACGCCTTGTCTATCACAGACTCAACTTTCCTCCCCACACTTGGAGGTGAGGACCGTCAGCTGTAACGCCATTCAAATGGAAGGCACTGTTGCTCTTTGAGGATAGGTGTAACTCAAGAGTCCACCTGTCACCTGATTCTCTGCCAGGCCAGCTCAGAGTCTGTGGCATCTGTCACTGCTTAGGGACCTGAAGTGCCTGTGAACATCATATCCCCAAAGGTGGCCGGCCTGTCCGTGAGCTGGGTTTTCAGTCGGCTTGCGTGGCACTTGGCATTGTCAGAACACAGGGTTTTCGTGAATCCTTCCCCTGTCCCAGGGTCACCAGATGAGATGGGAAAGGAGGTGGAAAGAAGGAAGGTCCTAGTCATCCTGACCTCAGTTAAAATCTCGGCTCCCTCAATCATGAGCTGTGCAATGTTAGGCAGGTCACTCAACTCCTGAGCCCCAGCATTCTAGTCTGTGAAGCAGAGATACTAATTCCTACTTGGCAAGGGGGTTGTAAATATCCAAGGCAGTAAAGTGTCTGGCACATGGGAGGCATTCGATGATAATATCCTTGTTATTCAGAGCAATGTTCTCATGCCCTTAGATCACTTACTTTAAATAATTAGACTGGTGGTTCTCAAAGTGTGGTCCTTGGGCCAGCATCATCAGCATCACCTGGGAACTTAGAGAAGCAAATTCTCCACCCAGTACCTGCTGAATCAGAGACCCTGGGGCTGGGGCCCACAACATGTGTTTTCACAAGCCTGCCAGGGGGCTCTGATGCACGATGAAGTTGGAGAACCTCTGAATTAACTAGAAATATTTTCCAGAACCACATGTTCCAAGGTCTTTTCTTTTGCCTGATTATGCATGCTCACCCCTGCAGATGATGTGGGAGGGCTTACAAACAAGGCAATGAGGTCAGAGCCGATGCTTGTCAGCTGGGGTTGGGGAGCATTGGTTTGCCTGAATTCGAGAGAAAGGGGTCCGGGACCCCTTGAGCCCCCTCCCCCTGGAACAGACAAGGGCCTCCATCAATGTTCTAGGTATTGCTTTTCACCTGCCCTCTGGACGGACTGCCCTTCCTCACTCACTGGGGCGTGTACAGACCCTGTGCCCATCTGTTCTCCTCCGCCCCATCAGAGATACTTTCTCTCACCTTGGCTTCGCTTCCCACGGAAGGGCTGGCCAGATCCTCGGTGTTAGATGTGAATGTGATTTTCCAGGTACGCTGTGGGAATGTATTCTGTAAATGGATGCTGCCAACCGGCCAGTTCTTTGCCTGAAGTCCAGACAGCGTTATGAGTACCGTATGGAGACTAATTTTAGGGGAAAACCTGATACCGTGGTGTTGCCTTGCTCTGTCAAGCAGCCTTCCACAGCATGTGCTGATCTCTTTCATGTGGTTTGTTATCATTCTGATGCTGAATTATTGAATGGGCTACATCCAGGCAACTAACACAAATAGCATTCAACGTTGAATTCTGTGACTAGACATCATTCCTGAGGGCCTCCTGGGTGGTAGCCATTCCACAGGGGGCTGCGAGGTGGTTAGCATCTGGGGCGGCCTCTGTTCTGAAAACAGATCATTTCAATCACTGACCCAGAGTTCTGCAAATATCCGGATGTCACAGCTGAACTCAGGATCGGTGTGAGTTGTGTGGTGTGGAGCTCTCCAAGTTTTGTGTTTCTTTTCAGAGGTAGTGTGGTTATGGAGGGAGGCAGATCTGGGGTTGAGTCTGATTCTGCCACTCCCTGGCTGTGTGAGCTGGGGAAAGTTACTTGACATCTCTGAGCCTCATTCCCCTTATCCCTCAAGTGGGATAAAAACTCCTGCAGGGCTCTTAGGAAAATTACAAGAGATGCTAGAGTGGGGCCTCTGGCCCTTGGTAGGCAATCCATAAGCAATAAGTATTCTTGTTTTGGGGTTTGTCTATGGGCAAGGCATTGGGAAGACAACACATCTTATCCATGGAAAAAAAATGACTTCAGAAGAACTGTTTTAATGGAGGAAAGATGAAAAACGATTTCAGAACTAGAAAGCAGAGGTCCTTCCAGCAATGTTTGGGTTTCTTGTTTCAACATCCATCACAAGATGTACCTCCTGGTGAGTCCCACAGGGCACTCCTGGACAGCAGGTGAGAGACAATGTACCCCGCAACTGTGCCCTTGAGCCACTGTCCAGCCTGACAGCCAACTGTGGAGCTGTCTCAAGATGGTGGTGAGGTGGGCTGCACGTTGTAACCTAGGAAATGTTTGCCTGGAATCAGTTGACTGAAAACACCAAAAGCTTTGGCTAGCTGAGCAAAGAGTTAGAAGAATCAGTTCTTGACTTTTTCCTGTGATCTCATTGGTTCGGTCACTTGAACCCATTGTGACAGATGTAGCTGTCCAGATGAGAGGGCCGGGTGAGAACTTGCCTACAGCCCCTATGGGCAGCCCAGGAAGCAGAGCACTGCTGCTGCAGGGCATGGCTCAGACACTGGCCTGGCTGGGGACGGGCATGGGAGGCCCAGCAGTCCCGGATGTCCACGATTCCTGAGTGTGCACAGCAGATCAGGTACTCTGAATGCAGAGTTCATGATTAGGTGAAGTCACATGGGCTATTCCTTTTCTTTGTTTTTTCCTTTTAGAGACAGGATCTCATACTCTCTCCCAGGTTGAAGTGCAGTGGCACAATCATAGCTCACCGCAGCCTTGATCCTCCTGCCTCAGCCTCCAAGTAGCTAAGACTGCAGGCATGGGCCACTGTACTTGGCTAATTTTCTTACTATTTTTTTTGTAGAGATGAGGTCTCACTATATTGCCCAGGCTGTTCTCAAATTCCTGGGCTCAAGTGATCCTCCCATCTTAGCCTCCCAAACTGTTGGGATTACAGGCATGAGCCACCATGCCCAGCCCACATGGGCTATTGTTAAACATGAAGCAGAAGAGTATAATAAACATTTAAAATCTCCTAGATTCTTTTCAGCATGATGATAGTTTTTAAAAATTTTATCAAAACTTGTTTTGGGCATGCTTTTTATTATGGTGAAAAATACATAGTGTTAAATTGACCTCTTTCTGTCTGTCTGTCTGTCTGTCTGTCTGTCTTTCTTGAGACGGAGTCTCGCTCTGTCACCCAGGCTGGAGTGCAGTGGCGTGATCTCGGCTCATTGCAAGCTCTACCTCCCGGGTTCACGCCATTCTGCTGCTTCAGCCTCCCGAGTAGCTGGGACTACAGGCACCAGCCACCACGCCCGGCTAATTACTTGTATTTTTAGTGGAGAAGGGGCTTCACCATGTTAGCCAGGATGGTCTCGATCTCCTGACCTAGTGATCTGCCTATGCCTCGGCCTCCCAAAGTGCTGGGATTACAGGTGTGAGCCACTGTGCCCAGCCCATTTTCACCATTTTTAAGTGCATAGTTCTGGAACACTGAGTACATCCATGTTATTCTGCAACCATCACCACCATCCATCTCCAGAACGTTCTCATTTTCCCAAATGGAATGCTAACCCACTAAACGCCAACTTCCCTTCCCCACTTCCTGCAGCCCATGCTGACCACCATTTCTTCTATTGAAACTTTTGTTGAGACCAGAGGACCCTTCTAGCAGATAGGAGAAAGTGTTTCCATGACCTCCTCCTTCAACAATATATTTAAGAATACTTTTTAAAAATATGTTGGACTTTTGTTTCACCTCTCAGATGCAGACACTAAATAAAGCCATGAACACATGTGGACATATGTGGCCCCTCTGGAATAATTGTACATGCCTTTATATTGCCCTTGCTGAAAAGAGCAATATAATGTTTATAAAAGAACACTTACAAAGAAGAAAGACTTGGACCAAACCACCGTCTTCCTGAGTTGTTGACAGCTGTTATTCAGTGGAAACCTCAGTGGAAACAAAGAAATATTGCAGCATTGTTTGAACATGAACATTTGAAGTGGCTTCCTTCCAAAGCTTGGCTGATTTAGGTACCTGGGATCTGTGGCCAAAGCCTCCTGTACTGTCTTGATTTCTTTCCTATAGCTATTGTTGACGCAGCTGTGGAAAAGTCTGGTGTGTATCCTGAATCGGCAATTGCTTCCACTTGCTTAGAGTCAACTATTTCTAGGTTATGTCACTGAGTCTTCCCGAACTGTGGACTGTTCCATTTACAGGGCTTTTGCTGTATTGAGGAAAGGCAAGCTTTTCACCATGGAGGAGATTCGCCAGGTGTTCTCAGAATCTTAGGGGCAGTAGCAGCCAATGTATAGATTTCAATGGACAACCATTGAAATGTGAAGGTGGGAAGAGTCTAGAGCATTTAAGAGAAACAGACAGTGTTTTGTTTGTTTGTTTGTTTGTTTGTTTGTTTGTTTTTTGTTTTTTCCCCCCAGGAAGGGTGGTACTTCCACATCATCATTTTTCTTCTTTTAAAAATTTGTGGCAATGCAGCTTAGCCTATTTTGAGGCCTGAACGTCCTTCTGTAGGCCTGCCCGCCTAGTCCTGGTGCTGACTCACCATGGGCCCTGCTGAGTCATTTCACAGCTCATTTCTTCCCCCCACCAATAACACGGGGTCAATAACGCCTGCCCTGGTTGTGAGACTCAAATGAGAAAACCTATGTGAAAGTGATTTGAAAATCATCAAGCACTTTCCACGTGTACTGTGGGGGCCCTTGCCATATGCTCCTTAGGACAGGCATGTCTGAGTGGGCTTGGGGTGGAAGCCCCCAACCGGGTGCCCCAGTGGTTAGGGGTGTGTGTTGGGGTAGTGATCTGCTTAGCCCTCTGGCTGTGAGCTGTCTCCCCCATTTATCTCCTACAAATATTATTTCCAAGTGGGCCATGACAAACGACAAAAATAGTCAGGAAGCCTGACGGAGAAGGGCTGGCGGGCATTGGTAGGAACAGCTAGAGAGTCCTGGGCCAGGGATCCCACAATACACTCTTTCCAGTTGTCCAGCTCAAATGTCACTTCCTCCAGGAAGTCTTCCGTCAGTCCCCAGGGCACCTGGCCTCCACACTGCCCATCCTGCATTGGGCTTGCTCCTTTAACTGTCTCCTGTGTAGACTGTGGATTCCACGAGGACGAGGACAGTTGTCCACCTTAATCCCTGTTCCTGGCACACAGAAGGCCCTTAAATGAAAGGGTGGACACCCTCCTAAGCACCCTTGTGGGTATGCAGTCTTTATATAGATTTATAACTATGTCCTTTCTTAAGATTAGTTGAAGAATAAGTTTTGGCAGAAAACAAACAAATGAAAGTGGGATTATTTACAGTCTGTTTTCTCAAAATGTGGCCCAGGAACCAGCAGCAGGGGCATCCCCTGGAAGTTTGTTATAAATGTCCAATTTCAGGCCCATCTCATATGGACTAAGTCAGAATCCACTTTTGGCAAAAGACCAGGAGATATGTCTGCTCACTGCAGGCTGTGAGGCGCTGGTTTCAGGCATCTCCTGGGCCTTGCAGATGAGGGAAGGGAAGTCCTGCCCAAGCTTCTCCTAGATCTTGGAGCCGGAGAGCTCAAGGCTTCTCACCTGGAATTTCCCAGCTCTGGGGTGGGGTTGCGGCCAAAGGGATGACTTTCTTTAAGGGATCCAGGCAGAGGAACTGATGCACAGTTTAGGGGTGGGCCATGGGATGTCCCTTCACACTTGAGAGGGTTTAAGTCAGCAGCCCAGGGAGCAGGAGTCAGAGTAATGGAGTAAGCCATCTGCCGTGGGGAACTTAGAAAACTAGGGCTCCTTGCGCCCTGTAGGAACCCTGGCTGGCTAATACTTTAACCCCTTTTGCTCTTCCCTGACAGGGTTTTTTGTGTCCTCTATGTAGGGAGGGGTATGAAGAGGTCACTTTGACCTTGATTAGTTCTAACAAGTTCTAGATAAGAAGATTTCAGATCTTCCTTACCAACCCACCCTGGTATCATAGCCCTCCTGGTCTTCCTTATACCTAACTGAAATTTATTCTCAATACCTTGTGACAACACTTGCATTATTTTCCTGGATCAATATTTGACTTTGCACTGTTATTTGACTGTTTATGAGCTTAGTTCTGAACCAGACTACTGGGTTCAAGTCCTGGCCCAGTCAGACATTCATTCAGCAGATATTTATTGAACATCTGCAATGTGCTATGCACTCAGCTGGGCACTGAAGAAACAGCTATCAACCTTTCCCCTCATTCTAGTGGTAGACACTGGCAAGAAACAACAAATAAGTAAAAAAAAAAAAAAAAGCATTTTTTTTATCAGCTATATGACCGTGTGCTTGCATAACCTCTCAGGGGCCTGATTTTTTTGGATTTAAAATGCCAGGCAATAATAGTATTATTCTGAGAAGGTTGCTGTGAGCATTGAATGTATTAATACACACAGTGTAGGATGATACTTACAAAGAGCCATAGAAAACTGCCTAGCCAAAATAGCCATTCAGTAAGTGTTAAGCGCACTGTTAGCTGCTCTTGGTTGTCTCTCCAGCAGCATCCTGAAAACTTTTTGGGCAGGTGCGATTGATTTTTTTCTCTGGCACCCCAGATCAGCCACACGCTAGCCTGTGTGATCTCAGTCTTCCCATTTGATGAGTGGGAATTTAAGTCTGCCTCTTCAGGTGAGGACTGACAGAGCAGATTGACTTGGGTGTGCCTGCTGGGAGGTGCTCAGAACAGGAGTCCTGGGGTCTTGTCTTACCCAGTTCTTGGAGGCAGCCTCCTGGAAGGACTTATGTGTCTGCTGTTATTTCTGTAATTCCTGATTTATTGCTGTTGCCATGTTTGTTCTTTGAGAGTCCTTCAGCTTCATGATGGATAAATCCTTAGTCACAGTCAATTCCTCACACTGAGCAACCTTGGAGCTAAACTCTTTGAATCCATGTTTACTTATGTCATCAAATTGAACGAAGGAATTTATAGCTTTCTGTTTTGGGACAAGGACATTGAACCAACTGGTTCTGATGCAGAAATGAGATGGGTGAGTGACATACAATGCCATGTTTAAGTAAGCATGTCTACACGAGGGGCCTTAGGCTGTCGAGAGAATTTTGTCCTGCAGATATGGGACTGGGTGTGTGAGCTCCTGTCAGGACACACATGGGGACTCCTGTGGGAAGGTGTCAGGCCAGCCCAGCTCGGGGCTCATCTCAGACACACAGGGCCTTCAAACACAGGGACTGAGCTTTAGTTGAGGCTTGGGGGCTTGGGAGCCCAGGATGTGTAAGGGAAGGGGGCTACCAGGCACTGAGTTTGGGCAAGTCTGGGCTGGCCTGGGCTATGGGGTCCAGAGCTGGGAAGCACCATCCCTCTCCTGGGCAAAGGAGGGCCACGAGCAAGGGAAGGTCTGCAAGACTGAGAGGAGTCTTGGGGCACATCGTGGGTCTAGGGAAGGGTCAGGCAAGAGACTGGGCAAGATATAGGAGTGGGTCTGGAGGCACTGCCTGGCTCTATGGTGTGTGTGTGACTGGAGGAGGGCACGGAGGAAGCCCTCTATGCAGGACAGTGGCAGCGCTTACGGCCCCCAGGAAACCACAGGGACAGACCCAGCCTGGGCAGATGTCAGCAGGAGCTGTATGAGGATGTGGCTTCCTTGCCAGCCCTTGGATTCCCAGAACTACTGAGGTCCCTTGAAAGCAGGGCAGCCTGCAGCCCCATCCCCTGATGCTCAAATTGTGGCCACACTGAACAGTCACAGAGCCTAGGTCTGAATGCTTCTAGGAGCAGAGGAGTCATTACCTCCTCACGTAGCCTATTTGATCCATTCTTGATTTTTTTCCCACCAGATTTTTTTGAGGCATAACTCATGCAATTAAATGTGCAGATCTGAAATGTACAGTTCAATAACTTTTCACATTTGCATCCACCTGTGCAATCACTTCCCAGATCCAGGTAGAGAACATTTCCATCACCCCAGAAAGTCTCTCCATGCAGGCTGGGTGCGGTGGCTCACGCCTGTAATCCCAGCACATGACTGAGGTGGGTGGAACATGAGGTCAGGAGTTCGAGACCAGCCTGAGGCCGGTCTTTGGGAGACTGGGAGGGTGGATCATGAGTTCAGGAGTTCAAGACCAGACTGACCAACATGGTGAAACCCCGTCTCTACTAAAAATACAAAAATTGGCCAGGTGTGGTGGCACGCACCTGTAATCCCAGCTACTCAGGAGGCTGAGGCAGGAGAATTGCTTGAACCTGGGAGGCAGAGGTTGCAGTGAGCCGCGATTGCGCCACTGCACTCCAGCCTAGGTGACAGAGCAAGACTCTGTCTCAGAAAGAAAAAAAAAAGAAAGAAAGTCTCTCCATGCTTTCCCAGGAACAGCACCCTGCCCATCCTAAGCCTGTCACTGTTCTGACCTTGATCACCTTGCATTAGTTTTACCTCTTCTTGAGAGCTGCAGGAATGGAATCATACAGCAGCCCTGCATTTGTGCTCAGCCAATTCTGTCTATTCCAATGGAATAGCTCTGATCATATTGAGCCTCCTCTGGCCGGTGTGCCTTTGCTCACACCCATCTCCATTCCTTTCATGGGGAGCCTCCTGCATGGGCCACCTCTCCTCTGCCCTCTTCTCACCACATCCCTCCAATCCTTGCTTGTCCTGCCCAATGGTGTGAATACACCAGCAGCCCTTCTGCTGTGCCGCAGCCCGAGGCATTTCACTGTTCAGGATGCTGACGGGAGCAATGACTCTCCTGATGAGTGTGTGCGCCTGTTGTCCTCAGAGGAAGTGCCACAGAGCCAAAAGAGTCGACTCTTCTCACCCCCCACAAGGGGAGGGCGTGGTCTGGAGTTTGGAATAGGCAGGTGACAGATTCACTGGCTGGCAGCTCTGTGACCTTGGAGGAGTCATTTGACTTTCCTGAGCCTCAGCTTTCTCCTTCCCAAAATGCAGGGGTCATTTGGATGAGATGCTCTTCAATGTCCCTTTTGATCCACAGCCTGATTCTGAGTCTTCCCTGTGCAGGTTCATCGATACATCCACCGTGTGTATGTAATTCTCAAGCAAAAAGTTTCAGCTGTAGGTGTGTGGATATATATATATATTAAATTCCGCCTTGAAGTTTAACATTCCTGCACTCCTAATTTATTTTATACCCTGGGTTAGAAAAAAGACATTTAAACAGCGGGAATTCTAGACTGGTGGAGGGATGACCTCCTTGGATTGATTTTTTTTTTTTTTCCAGCTGACCTCAGGTGCTTGCCCCTACCCACAGGCAAAGGGCTATCTGGTGGTCTTCTCTATAGAAGGTCTCAGAAATGGATGAAAGGACAGTTTTGTTTGGAGAGTATTTTGATGTCTTGGTTCAGTAGTTTCAGAGAATACGAAGACTCAGAGAAATCTATATTTTTGGATTCAGTTCAAAATGGGGCTCTGGGGTCATGTGGTGGGAAGCAGGTGGTATAAGGGCCATGTTACCATCAGCTGCCAACTGTGGGCCAGCCCCTGGTTGCCATGGGTCAGGGATGCCCATCTGTAAGATGGGTGAATAATCCCTGCTTCACCTTGCCACATTGTCATGAGCATCAGATGAAATAAGGCCCAAGGAAAAGGCATTGTTCCAATTCATCTTCGGCAGAGTTGGGTAAACTTGGGTGTGCTTAAGGGCCCGCTAGGTAGTGACTTATTCTGGTTTGTGTTGCCTGGTTTGGTCAGAGCCTAGGACTTTTAGAGAGTTCTTGTAGTTCCTCTTCTTAGGTATCTTCCCTCCCCTCCTTCAGTTCTTTTCTCCCCAGCATATCCCCTTCTTCTCACCCCTGTGCCACCCAGGGGTGCTTTTTGACTAGTATGCTGTATTAGTCTGTTCTCAGACTGCTAATAAAGACATACCTGAGATTGGGTAATTTATAAAGATGTTTATGGACTCAAAGGTCCACATGGCTGGGGAGGCCTCACAATCATGGTGGAAGGCAAAGGAGGAGAAAGGCACATCTTACATGGCGGCAGGTAAGAGGGAGCTTGTGCAGGGAAATTCCCCTTTATAAAACCATCAGATCTCATGAGACTTATTCACTATCCGGAGAACAGCACGGGAAAGCGCTGCCCTCGTGATTCAGTTACCTCCCACTGGGTCCCTCCCACAACACTTGGGAATTATGGGAGCTACAATTCAAGATTTGGGTGGGGACACAGCCAAACCATATCATATGCCTTCCTCCTTCTTTGCCATCTTAAACCCACTGATCCTTTCTAGGAAATCCTCCCAAGACTCTGACCTGGAGCTGACCCTCTGCAGCACCACCTCTTGGGCTTCCCAGGAGGCCATAAGTGTGCCAGGGGCGTCATAACCTGTGCACGTAAGCTTTTATTACTACCAGCTAACTTGGGGTATTTAGAACCATGGTAGTCTATGGCTAGATGTGACTTAGATTTCTGGTTTGTTTTAGAGCCAAGGTCTTCCCCTGTTGCCCAGGCTAAAGTGCAGTAGTGCAATCATGGCTCACTGCAGCCTTGAACTCCTGGGCTCAAGTGTTCCTCCCAGCTTAGCCTCCTGAGTAGCTGGGACTATAGCTGCATGCTGCCATACCTGGGTAATTTTTATTTTTTGTATAGGCGAGGTCTTGCAATGCTGCCCAGGCTGGTCCTGAATTCTGGCTTCAAATGATCTGCCCGCCTCGGCTTCCCAAAGTACTGGGATTACAGGCATGAGCCACCATGCCCACCCCAATTTTGATTTCTTAATTGAGAAATGAACAAACTGAAGGCAAGAGGCTGAGCCACCTGGGCAAGAGCCCCTGGACAGTTTGTCTCTAATTTCCCTTTGCTCTTCCGGTTTGCTGCCTCTGATTACTCTGCACTTAGTTTAACTGGGTGTACCTTGTCCCACTCATAAGCCTTTGATGACCTGGACTAAGCCTCACATGGGAACTCAATACTTATTTTTGATCAGATTAAATGCTCAATGCGTATTTGTTTCATTACATGGAAGACATGAAGAACAGATACATCATGCAAGATGTTCTTGCATGTAAGTTATTTGTTACGGAGCCCAGCCTTTGGCCACAGGACATGGAAACACCGCTCTCCCACTTTTTTGGTAGTGCCTTCTGCCATTCTTTGTAACCGAGAAGGTCAAGGCCAAAAGAGTGGTGGAGGCTAAGGGGTTAATCTCCATCCTCAGTCATCTCTCTTTGTTTCCTGTGCACCAGACACCCTTGAAACATTACCTGCAAGTTACTGGAGCTTTAAATCGAAATGTCAACCCTCTCTTCATTTCCACTTACCACGCTTGCCCCCGTGGGACGGATTGTACCGCTCTTAAAGTGGGTGATATCCTTTCTCATAACTCTTCTGTGGATGACTTAATCCCTGGAACATCTGCCATGTGGACTGAGGGCTCCTGGGAAATGAGCTTGGATCTTACTCTTTCGTTATGTCATTTGGTTCCCTGCTTCTGAACCTCAGCCTCAAAACCCAACCAAAATAAAAGGGAAAATATTTTTCTGAGTTCAGCATGACCTCAAGGTTCTTGGTGAGTGGGTAGAACTGGATGCCCACGGATGCTGACAGCTAAATGCATTTCTGCAGAGGGGCGAGGGCTATGGGTAGATGTCGCCTTTATGGCAAGACTGAATGCAAAGGGACCTGTTCCTATTTCCAGTGTGGAATCGTGTATGTGTTTCTCAGTCGGGTCTGTGTAAGGTGGTCAGCTGAGTGCAACCGCTTTCTACGTTTGCTAAGAAGACAGTGTTTGGGGCACGCTGGGTCCCAGCGTGACTGGGCAAGTATATTGCACAAAACCACCTGACTAATTCCTAACAGCAGCCAACTGCGTCTTTATGGATCCTGATTTAGACAAGGTGCTGTTCATTTGCTTAAAAAAGATATGAGTCCCAGACCAGGAGGAAACTGTCAAGGTTTGTTTCGCAACCTCCTTTAAAAGATCTGGAGTTGTCCTTCAATGGATAGAGAGGTAATTTATAAGCCTTCCCTTTAATCTAGTTTCCAAAAATAGTGGGGCTATCTCAGTCAAGACTGCCTCATTGCCAAGGTCCACTTGAATTTCAGAACATGGTGCTCTCCCTGCAGAGGCCCAGGGCACCAGGCAACTCAGGAGAGAAAACCCCTGCGGCTCCCTGGGGACCCCCAGGCTGCCGTGGGGCCAGGGACACGCAGGGCCTTTGATCTCCTGATGTATTTCTCTAAAAAGACATCCAAGAAGACACAGGAAGGAAGAAGGAGCCCCTGCTATCCCTCATCCAGTCGGTGCCCACCCACCCTGAGCTGGGGCTGGCTGCTGACCTTAGCCGAGGGCTCCCTGCACTCCCTGGATGTGTGGCCTTGGGTCCCCTGAGCCAGGAAGCTGGTGAGGATGGCTGGCCATCTGCAGGCTCCACCTTCCCACCTATGTCCCACTTAGCCTGCCCCTTTCAGAGGTTCCATGTTCTGCACCATAGACCCCTGGGCCATGGGAGACCCTAGCTGGGGAGCCGTCAGCCTCCTGAGGAGTGCTGACATCCTCTCTGCTCTACCTGAAGATGCTGAGTCTGGGTGGGCTGGGATGTCCAGCCTCCCTCTGTTTCTTGGCAGGGCGTGGCCTGGTTTTCTGGTCTCCTTTTGCTTTTGACCTATGCGACCCTCTTGGAATAGCTGCCACCCCACCAGACTGGCATGTGCATCTGGAGTCCCTCCCCCAGAGCCCGGGCCTCAGAGGGCGTGTACAGTTTGGGGCAGAGAATAGCCAGCTGGTTGTCAGGGGATTGCCTGTAAGAAGGGCTGTTGGTCTCTGAAACATGAAAGGGGAGCTGAGGACACCAGCTCAGTCGAGGGATAGTGAAATACAATCCCAGGGCTGTTGCCTGGCTCACTTGCCTATTTTGAGGGCTGGCCCAACCCTGGGCCTGCGTGTCTGTCCTCGTGGGGCCTGCTCGGTAGTCTTCAGTCCTTCCCATGATCACCCTTGGGCCAGGGGATCCCCGGAAGGCTGATCCAGTTACTCAGATAGTTTTGTGGTGCACCTGTGCATTCCTTTCTACATTTGAGAGATGTTTATTAAATAATTGCTCTGTGCTAGGCTTTTGGGAAACAAGTTAAAAAATAAGTGTGGTTCTGGCCCTCGGACATCTCACCATCTCAAAGACATGGCAGGCAAGGAGAGAGGTATGTCAGCAATGAAGAACTACAAAAATCTCAGGAGCAGACAGTCATAGACATTTGTTTTGTGGATCTGCAGGTTCAGGCTGTAGGTCTTCAGGGGTTGGCGGGGCTGATTTTACTCCATGGTGGTTCACCCTGGGTCCCAGGCAGGAGACTCTTCTTTTGATGATGGCAGAGATACAAAAGAGCAGTGGAAACATGCAAGGCTTGTCAGGCCTATGCTTGCAGCAGACACACTGGCCCTCTAACCACATACCTGTGCCCACTGCAAATTATACAACCAACCTGCAGCCAAGGGTTAGGGAAGAGCTCTCCTCTGTTGCAGGGCTGAGGGTGCAGGAGGGAAGAGCCAGGCTGATAATCCACCACTTGGGCAGTCTCTGCAGGCATGGGTGCCCCTGGGGGCCAGGTACAGACTGCAGTGGGGCATGAAGGAGCCTGGGACATGTGGCCTGGGAAGCTGGAGGCTAGTGCCTTGGGGCACTAGGACAGGGCCATGGGGAGGCCACAGGTCAGCAAAGGCATGAATGACCTTGGCTTCTTGGGCTGGGGAAACCAGAACCTCCAGGCAGGGTCTGTGTAAGTGCTGGTCCCTGGTTGCCTCAGGACCATGGCTGGCTGTATGGAAGGAGGGGAAGGCCCTGACTTGTCCTGCTCCTGCTCCTGCCCAGTCCAGCTTGCTCCCTCAGTCTTGGACAAAGCCCAGGTATGGCAGGACTCAGAGGTCCATGCGTCCAGAGAGGCATTCTTCTTTGATTTCTTTTGCCAGCATCTGCCTTTCTGAGTATGGCACCAGAGGCTCCCCTCTCCTCTGCATGTGCCAAGTGGAGGTGAGTATGAGGTCTTCCCTCTGGGGCCCTGGAGCCACATATCCAGCATTCTCCAGATCACAGCAGTTTCTCTGCCAGTCCCTTCATTCAGGCCACCAGCACCTGTGCCCTCCTGATGGGTCTCTCTGATTCTACCCTTGCACCTCCTGCCCAAGTGACTTCCTAAAATATAACTCAGAATGTGTCACTTTCTGCTGAGCCCCATCTAGGGCTTCCTATTGCACTGAGGGACCAAAAAAAAAAAAAAATCACACTCCTTAGGATGGTGTCCAAGGCTCTGCACCTTCAGCCCTTGCTCTCCTCCCCAGCGCAGTTTGTGCCGCTGGCGTTTGCATGCCACGCTCCTGCTACCTCACCTTTCTTCAATCCCTCCATGTGCCAAGCCCTTGCCACCCTTTCTCGGGGCCTTCACACCTGACCCCTCTGCCAGGAGGGCTTCTCCTCCCACCTGCTCCGGGTCCCCTTCACCTGCCACTGTCACATCTTGCTTGATGCAGCTGAAATATTACTCCTCTGGAGAAAAGTCCACAGCCCTCCAGCCTTCCATGAACCATGTCTATAACCACATTTCTTTGTGTTTATAATTCCTGAACTTTAAAGCACTCATTCCCTTGTTAATATATGTGTATGTGTGTGTGTGTTGGGGGGGTTTTCTGGTTTGTGCCTTTCTCCTCCTATGAAGGATAGGAGGCATGTGGGTCCTCCTCACCACTGTGCTCTCAGAACCTAGTACAGAGCACATACTAGGTGCTCAGTAAATACTGGATGGAGGAATGAATGACAGAGTGATGCCTTAACATTGTATGGGGTGGAAGCTATGACTTTTGATTCTGTTCACATTTAACTGGGGCAACCCTTGAGGATGATCCTTTGCACTCTCTCTGAAATACTTAATAATCAATCATATGTACCTGGTCAGAAAGAACATAAGAATTCCAAATTACTCCTGTCCACTTGACTTTGTCCAGTAAGGAATTTAAAGGCAAACAGATCCTGAAGTTGCATTAGAACCCACAAAGATGACATAGGGAGTAAGAAAAGTTATTTTAACCTCCGGATGTTCTTCCCCACATGATCTAAGCACCTCTGGTGCCCTCCTGTATGTTCTGTCTTTCCTCACTGTTCTGCTCAGCACTTAGACCCCAGGCACAATGACCCTTGAGCTCCCAAAAAACATGGCTGCCTCCCTGTGATGTCCACAGCCTGCTGTGGAAAAAACTTAGTAGGAACAACTGTGCAAAGCCCATGGAGAGAGCCAGGACCACAAAGCCTTCTCTACAAGAGAATTGGTAAGTCCAGCCTCATGGCTGCTCTGAAGGGCAGCAGTAAGTCCTCTAGATAATCTGACCCTTGCACAGCCCTCAGCCCTGGGTTTTGCTAGTGGTGAGATGTGCGTGGGACAGGCACCCATTGGTGGCGGTTGTCCCAGACAGGCCCTTGGTAAATGATGTTGGGCAGAACTGAGAGTTCCTGCAGCGGTTCCTGAGGAAGAGCACCCAGGGTGCCACCGCTGCTAGGCCCTGGTGATTGATGTCCCCTGGCTGTCATCTCATCAGACCCCTGCCTGCCATGCACCTCTGTTCCTAGTTTGAGAATGTAGGCCAGACAGGCCTGAGGACAGCGTTCAGATGGGCAGAGCTGAGAGGGGCTGCACGGTCAGCCTCTGAACCTCTGTCAGATCAAGACCTGCCTGCACCTGCGGATGGGGAGGGAGGATGCAGAACAACTAGTGCTCAAGGAAAGGCTAAAGGATTTCTTGGTGGGCTTAGTCTCACAGGAAATGATAACCTCTACTGAATGAGTGCTGTTCGAGGTTTACCTTGTGTATGCATGGAGCAGAAGGAGGCAGAGTGACTTTGAGGAGCTCAGGGCCTGAGGTGGGGAGAGAGAGACTTGGGACAGACAGTGAAGTGACCACGAGGAAGGCACTGCCTCTGAGGTTTGAGGAGGTCTGTGCTGAGGGCTGAAGGCTAAGAAATGCGACAGGGGTGTCAGAAAAGGCTTCCTAAAGGAGTTGGACTTTGATCAGGGTTTTGAAGGATGCATAGAAGTTTTCCAGGCAGAAAGATGGGGAGTGCATCTCAGACAGAAGAACAACATGAAGCAAATGAACAAAATTGTGACAAAACATGATCAAGAACAACAGGAGCCAAGAGAGACCCCGTGATTTGAAATGCATGAAGTGTGTGGTTTGGTTACATAGTAGAGATCAGGTCTCTGTCTAGACTGATGATACAAAAAGTGATTATGGAACTTTCACTATTAGGTGTTACTCTCATTTTACAGATGAGAAGGACTAAGGGCATTTCAGTGTCTTTCCTGTTGTCACACAATTAGTTAAGTGGTGGATGCAGATTTCAAGCCTTGAGTCTGTGGTCTTTCCACTGAGCTGCGCGGCTTCCCTGGAAGAAACGCTGAGGGTTGACGGCTTGACAAGGCAAGATTTAGTGTAGTGAAATGCAAAATGTGTTTCCTGAGTGGCTCTAGGGTTACCCTGCCTGAGGGTGGGAGGCTGGCAGATTAGTGAGATTTTCATACGGTTAGCACTGGAAAGCCGTTCCACATGATGTCATAGGGTATGTCAATTAACAAGCATGTTCCACTCAATAACTCTGGGAAACATTCAATTAGACCTTATAGATGATCCCTTCATGCAGGACTTCTCAGAGTCTGCGCCTGGCTGATATGCGCTGTGAGTTTCTAAAAGAATGCCTGGTAGCCCTGTCCCTACTAAAAATACAAAAATTAGCCAGGCATGGTGGTGTACGCCTGTAATCCCAGCTACTCAGGAGGCTGAGGCAGGAGAATTGCTTGAACCTGGGAGGCGGAGGTGTCAGTGAGCTGAGATCGCACCACTGCACTCCAGCCTGGGTGACAGAGCGAGACTCCGTCTCAAAAAAAAAAAAAAAAAAAAAGAATTCAAAGTACAGTGGTGGTTTTCAGTGTGTGGGCCAGAAGTTTCAAGGGTCCTTGAGACCCTTTCAGGAGGGTCAGTTAAGTCGACACTACTTTCAGAACAAGACTAAGGCATCATTTTACCCTTACTTTGTCACAAGCATACACTGGAATTTTCTAGAGCCTACATGATAGTGCAACAGGTTGAATTCAGAAGCAGAAGTGAAAATCCAGCTCTTAAGCGGAACACTGAGGAGTTGGACCAAAACGTGGGACAGTGCCACTCTTTTCACTGGTATTTTTGTTTTGGGAAATAGAGTCATTTTTCACAAAAATATGGTGTTAGCAGGGAGTAAATTTATTATTATTTTTAAGTGAACGATTGCATATTTTAAAAAATTTCCAGTTTAATTTTGATGATAGTAAATATTGATAGGCATAACCCACATAAACAAAAGCTCTTTGAAGATTTTGATTTTTTTTTTTGAGACATGGTCTTGCTCTGCTGCCCAGGCTGAAGTGCAGTGGCATAATCATGGCTCACTGCAGTCTTGACTTCCTAGACTCAAATGATCCTCCTGCCTCAGCCTCCTGAGTAGCTGGGACTATAGGTGCATAACACCACACCCGGCTAATTTATACATTTTTCTGTAGAGATGGGGTCTCGCTAAGTTGCCCAGGCTGGTCTCAAACTCCTGGACTCAAGCAGTCCTCCCGCCTTGACCTCCCAGGGTGCTGGGACTACAGGCAGGAGTCACTACATCTGGCCTACTCTTGATAATTTTTAAGGGTGCAAAGGGTTCCTGAAACCAACAAGTCTGGGGACCACTGGGTATGTAGTATTTCTTAAACTTATTTAATCCAGAACTTCCCTATCCACCCATTTTAGGTCAGATAGCAACTATGCATCTCTTGGCATAGTGTTCCATATGGGAAGCGTTGGAATAGATGATCTTTGGTGGAGTCTGTCAACCCTGAGTTTAAAATGTGGCTCTGTCATTTAGTAGCTGTGTGACTTTGGGCACATTACTTAACCTTCTGAGTCACAGTTTCCTCATCGGTGTGATGGTGATAATAGTATAGTATTAATGTTACCTACACTCTAGGTTTGTTAAGAAGATCACGTGTGATGATGAATGAAAGGCACTCAATACAAACTAGCACCCAATAAATACTACTACTAATAATATTTGAAACAATAATATCATGATATATGACTCTAGGTACATCTTCATTAAAGACAATAACAATAATAAAAGTCTGTGAGAAATAGAGGAAGGATTGACTCTGAATGGGAGTCAGGAAGACCATGGTAGTTAGAAGAGATGGCTTCTCTGGGGTCTGACCTTGATTCTCTCACAAAAGACCTGGAGGTGGCTTTCCCACAGCTGAACTAGTGGTTGGCAATGAGGGGGCCTCATGTCAGTCTGTGGCTTAGGCAGGATCTAAAATGAGATTTTTTTTTTTTTTTTTTTTTGAGACAGAGTCTCGCTCTGTCTCCCAGGCTGGAGTGCAGTAGCCCGATCTCGGCTCACTGCAACCTCCACCTCCAAGGTTCAAGCGATTCTCCTTCCTCAGGCTCCCAAGTAGCTGGGAGTACAGGCATGTGCCACCATGCCTGGATGATTTTTTTGTATTTTCAGTGGAGACGAGGTTTTACCATGTTGGCCAGGCTGGTCTTGAACTGGTGACCTTAAGTGATCCATCTGCCTTGGCCTCCCAAAGTGCTGAGATTATAGGCATGAGCCACCGCATCAGGCTGAGAAGCTTTTGTATTCTTGTGTGATCAGCCCCCAGTGCTGGTGGATACTGAAAGTATTTGTAGGCCCGGAGAGTATGGGACAGGCCCAGGCCTCCCTCAATAGCACTCTGTCAGATGCATCAAAAGGCAAGAAAACATTTTGTTTTTGTGGGCCACCTTTGTCCTGGACTGAGCAAATGTGTTGCCTCTCCCCTCACTGGCTGCTTCTGGATAACCACTTCTTTGGCCAATGGAGTGAAACCAAGAGACATGTTTGAGTGTGGTGTATTTATAGCCGGGAGATAGGAAAGCATCATGAGTGAAACCAGAGGAGGGAAGCCAGGCAAGGGCCTCGGAGGAGTGGAGAGTTTGTGTGAGTGTGTGAGTGTGCGTGTCTGTGAAGAATATTTTAAAAATTGTGTATTTTTATAGATTTAGGGGGTACAGGTGCAGTTTGGTTACATGAACATATTGGGAAGTCTGGGAGTCTGGGTGTTTGGTGTGCCTGCACCTGAAGAGTGAACATTGTACCCAGCAGGAGTTTTCTCAGCCCTCACTGCCCCTCCTTCCACTTTTTGAAGTCTCATTATCCACTCTACATGACCCTCACTACTCAGCATTTAGCTCCCACTTCTGAGTGAGAACATGCCCTATTTCACTTTCTGTTTCGGATACAATTTGATCTAAGCCTTAATTATTTCTAGAAGGAAGCCTAATTCATTAGGTCAAGTTAAGGAGCAGAATTCCTTTTTTTTTTTTTTGAGACAGAATCTCGCTGTGTCACGTAGGCTGGAGTGCAGTGGTGCGATCTCAGCTCACTGCAACCTCTGCCTCCCAGGTTCAAGTGATTCTCCTGCCTCAGTCTCCCGAGTAGCTGGGATTACAGGAAGCTGCCACCATACCTGGCTAATTTTTGTATTTTTAGTAGAGATGGGCTTTCACTACGTAGGCCAGGCTGGTCTTGAACTCCTGACCTCAAGTGATCCGCCTGCCTCGGCCTCCCAAAGTGCTGGGATTACAGGCGTGAGCCACCGCGCCCGGCTGAGGAGCAGAATTTCTTTCCTTCTTTAGTTTCCTCATCCGTAAAATGGAAAAAGGGCTCCTGTCCTTGACGTGCCTCTAAGACACACCGTCATGGGAGTAGCATTATTATAAACATTTGCACACATGCAGTGTTCTGGCAGGCAGTGTTCCCTCTCCAATCCATAAGAAAAACCATGCAACTGCTGGCTGAGGAGGAAAAAGAAATGTGAAAACATCAGCAGCTCACCTATCTGTGTCATCCCAAGCCTTCGTTCAAGTTTCCCTTGCCATGGTGCCATCATAGCCGAGAACAATCAGCCTGGGATAAGGAGCTTCGGTCTGTTGGGTGCAGAATGTCCTTGGCTGTCATATGCCTCTCCTCAGCCGGGGGCTGCTCCGTGGCCTTGGGAGCCACTGCCAGGGCAGCTCTGGGTGCAGGGGGCCGTGGCGCCTCCTCATGCTGACGTTGGCAGAGGTAAGCCTTAGGCTAAAGAACGAAACAGAAGAGAAGCGGACCAAAGAAGGTGGTCAGCCAGGGCTGCAAATGGAGCTGCGTCCTCATGGAGGAAGGCCGGTGCCCTCTGATCTTTCTTCTGTTACCTTGAAGTTACATTCTCTTTTGTAACAGTGATGTAGAGGATAATGACCACGTTACATGATGTCCAAAGGGGCTGACCCACCCTGAAACGACTCCGTGCAGAGGTGACCCAGCTTGCCCAGAGGCGGTGTCTGTAGAGGTGTCACTTGGCCTAGAGGTGCAGTGACCCCGTGTTTTCTTGTGCCAGCTGGGACACTTGTTTGAGAATGAAAGGAGGCACTATTCACCGGAATAAACTGGGTAAAGGGGACATATGGCCACCTACCTAGAGGTCACGAGAGGGTGATAGAGGACTTACCACTGGGTGGTTTCCTATGGAAAGGTGGCCACGCCCATCCACGAGGGTTTAGCGCACAGATGGAAATAGCCCCAACATCTCTGGCTGAGGAGGAGTTGGCCAGTGGGGGTGCCGGGAAAAGGACAGCAGGCACTTACTCAGTTGGAGGGGCCCATCCTGCAGACCTGGCTTAGAGACTCAAACTGGAGTCTCCATCCTACTCCCATCTTTCCAGAGTTTCAGGCTTTTCAAAACATTTTCCCAAGATGCACAATTCCAGCAGAAAATCCCACCTAACCATCCAAGGGTGGCTGGGCCACGCTATCATTTGAGAGGCAAGGACGTTGAGGAGCAGATGTGTCCAAAGCCATCAGCCTTCAAGGAGTGAATTCATTTCCAGTGTCTGGCTCAAGGAAGATTCTATCCATTGTGCCACCCACCAGAATAGTGGCTGAGGTCTGAGTGTCTTAGAATTCATTCCTACCTAACCGGCAACCCTCAAGAAAGTGCAGAAAATTAGGAAGGAAGAGCCCCACTGGGCCATGGAACGGAGAAGCCCGCGGAGGATAGAGCAGCGGTACTGGGGGCTGAGTGGATGTGGGGCTCAGACTTTGCCTGGACCTCTTGGAGTCCTGATGGTTTTAGAATACCGGCTGAGACTGGAGCCTGGGGCTGGACACAGGAAGGAGAATAACTTACTGCTCCTGTGATTTCTTGGGACTGCATTGGGTCCGAGCCGAAAGTGGCCTTGCTGGTCATCCCCTCCAACTCCCTTATCAAAAAGATGAGGGGCCAGGCACGGTGGCTTACGCCTGTAATCCCAGCACTTTGGGAGGCTGAGGCGGGTGGATCACCTGAGGTCAGGAGTTCAAGACCAGCCTGGTCAACATGGGAAAACCCCGTCTCTACTAAAAATACAAAATTAGCTGGGCATGGTGGCGGCCTGTAATCCCACCATACGGGGCATGGTGGCGCCTGTAACCCCAGCTACTTGGGAGGTTGAGAGAGGAGAATCGCTTGAACCTGGGAGGCAGAGGCTGCAGTGAGCTGGGGTCATACCACTGCACTCCAGCCTGGGTGACAGAGTGAGACTCCACCTCAAAGAAAAAAAAAAAAAAAAGATGAGGAACTTTGTATTGATGTGGGAGGAGGAGGTGGTGGCATGTGCCTATACCTTGCAGACCATCTCGAGTTTATCTCATTTAATCTGCAAAATACTCTGAGATAGGAAATATAATCTGAGATGATCCCTGTTGCCCAAACTCCCAGGTTAGTGAATGGGGAGGAAGGATTCGAATTCATTTCTCTGACTCTGAAGCTCCTGCTTTTTGTACCATATGTCTCTGTCTCTCCCTAAGGCATGGAGAGATTACAACCCTTGTCCAAAGTCACTTCATCTGGAAGAGGTCAGGCTAAACTGAAGGTACACTGACCCTTGTCTAAGTCTTTCTGGATCAACTTTCATTGTAAATATTTTCTCCCTGATTGTGCAACGCTCAGCAGTTACTTACCAGGGCTGCAAAGTGAAGATAAGCTTGCAAGAGAGGAACCACCCACCTCCCCCGAGTGAACCATAGGCAATTTCTGAATGACTCTCAGGCTGTCAAAGGCAATTGCCACAAGAGGTCAACGCCAAGGCTGCTCTGCAGATATGACCAGGGCTCATTTTTTCCATGATCTTAGAGAAACTGGATAAGCCCGGGGCAAATCGGGCCCAGAGATGAGATGGTAGGACATTATGGCAGGCCCTGAAACCCCAGCGTGCCCCAGCAGAGGCCTGTGGTGGCCTCTGGGGAGGTGGGCGGTGGTGGAGGTCCGTGTGAGAGGGCAGCAGCAGCAGCAGATTAGGCCCTGTGGAAGCCCACTTCCTTCCAGAGACAGTGCCAGGGGAGGAAGGGTCCAGACTGAGGGCAGGACGGGCCAGGGGGTGTGGCAGGCGGATGCCCCCCTGGGCAGGTGACCTCATCCACCCCTCCCGTGTCGCCTCCTCTGATCTGCTCCCTCTGGAGATGGGGAAATCCAGAGTAGGGGCAACAGGAAGTATATTCCCAAGAAGACTGTAGACCCCCGCACAGGGAAACGATGGAGCTCAGGAGGGGCGCTGATCTCGGGAGCCTGGATCCACCAGTTATGCAAGTGATGAAGTGAGTACGCACGGTCCTCGAGGCCAGGGCCGGCGCAGTAAGAACGAACAGGTTGTTCTGGAAAATTGTCTGGCAGCCTCCCCGCGGCCTGCCTGCAGGAACTGGCATCTGTGGAGTACTTTGCCTTGCTTGTTGATCCACAGCACTTACCACATCCTGGAGAAACAGGTCAATACAGGTGGCCCTCAGGAGCCATGGGCCCCATGTTTGGAACTCTGACCCACACAGGGGCAACCTGAACTCCTGAGCCATAGCCAACCCCTCCCACCCGGGGCCTCTGATGAGCTGGGCCCCCCTGCAAATAACGTTCCTGTCTGTTTCCATCTGTGAGCTCCTGCTCGCGATCTAAGGCCCAGCTGAAAGTGCTTCTTCCTTCCTGGGCCACCTTCCTTTCATTCTCAGCTTTTCTAAATTATGAACATTTCAAACATTCCCAAAGGAGAGAGAGTGCACGATGCACCTGAACCATATGTCGCCCAGAATCCATGGCTATCAAGATCTTACCACAGTTGCTTCATGGATCCCTGCCTCTACTTATTTCTTTCTGAGTTGCTTTAATGTTTCACGCCACTTTATATCTATGTACTAGATTTTGCATCTCTAAAATAGAGGGGCATTTTTATACGTAATGATGTTATGGTCGTCTGGCCTAAAAATTGCCAACACTTCCTTGCTATCTATCATTCAATACCCAGTCCATATTGAAATTTCCCTTCTGAAAATTAATTTTTGGAATCAAGTCTACCATCGGATTTGGTTGAATTTCTGAAGGAAGGGGGTCCATTGCTCTGCCGAATGTCCCCACATGGCTTCTGTCTCCATCCACCACGTATGTCCAGCTTGCGGCCCTGACTCTAGGTGCCCTCAATTATGCCCACTGTGGAAACGGCCTTTCTGCCACATCTGAAGCTTGAGCCTTGGAGGCAGGCATGACGTCTCATCTCTGTGTTCTTTGTGGTTCCCAAGGCAATGCGTGGTGTATCCGAAGTGCTCCACTGAGTCTCGAAAACGTCCCTGCATTGGAGGGATCATGGAGTGAATTTTGTCTTTGCCACTCCACTTACAACTTCAAGTCTGGAGATTTTGAAACACCCCATGACTGGGAGTGACCGCTGGCTCGGAGAGGTTTGTACACAGAGCAGAGGGTAGACTAGATGACCCTTAAGATCCACCATGACTCTGCAATTCAGGCATGCGGAACCTGGCTGATGACAGACATCGACTTTGTCCTCCAACCTTTTTCCGGGACTTATCAATATTCTCGTGGTTAAATTCCACAAGCTGGCATGATCTGAGGAGGGAAATTAGGACATGGTTTCTTGCCATTACTTTTTACAGCTTGGCAAGGGGCAGGAGGCTGCCATCCCCTTCTGTGGTTGCTGTGTCATTCTGTGGGGTTGCTGGAGCCGGGGCCTGAGGTGTCAGGGCGGTGGAAGCTCCTGACCCTGCCCTGCTTTCTGACCCACCTCTCATCTCACAACCTCTGACCTTGTTTATTTCTAGAGGCATAATCTGTGTGCCATATTGTGAGTAAATGAGAAAATGTGGCTTGGATTATGGAATTCAGCTTTATGATTCATTTGTTCAGCAAGCTCTTTTTGAGAATCTATCTTGTGCCAGGCCCTAGATTCTGGGGGTTTAAAAATTGCCAAGACCCAGGCGTGGTGGCTCACGCCGCTAATCCCAGCATTTTGGGAGGCCGAGGTGGGCGAATCACAAGGTCAGGAGTTCGAGACCAGCCTGGCCAACATGGTGAAAACCCGTCTTTACTAAAAATACAAAAAAAATTAGCTAGGCATGGTGGTGGGTGCCTGTAATCCCAGCTACTCGGGAGGCTGAGGCAGGAGAATCGCTTGAACCCAGGAGGCGCAGGTTGCAGTGAGGCGAGATCTCACCACTGCACTCTAGCCTGGATGACAGTGCAAGACTCCATCTGAAAAAAAAAAAAAAAAAAACAACAAAACAAGAACGGCCAAGACCCACCTTGCTAGCAAGAAGTTCACTGTCTAATGACAGAGACAGACCAAAGTGGCATAAGAGAGCAAGCCTGAATGCTATGAGAGAGACCCATTTCAGACTGCTGGGGTATAGGAGGGCTTCCTGGAGGAGGCAGCTTCTAAGTTGAGTCTTAAAGGTATGCATAGAAGTTTGCTAGAAGGAGGGGAAGCGGAAGAGGAAAGAACATTGCAGATATATTCCAAGGAGAAGGAATAGCACGTGGGAAGGGAGACTGCATTTACCCTGTGCTTTCAGAAACACATATAATGTAATTCACACCTCACAAATGATTTTTATAAAAAAATAGGCCTCAGGGAGGTTAAACGACTTGTCCAAGGGGAGGAAGAAGAATTAGAATGAAGGCTATAGACTCTCTGGGCAGAAGTTCAGCACCCTGACCTTATGCCATGCTGTGTAACATCCACCCTCCATTAAGTAACCGTAAAACCCTCATTTGTGTCAGCCACGGAAGGGGCTGGGCCAGCCTGGAGGGTTCAGGGTAGATGGGGTTGCTGCATTCAGCAGTTTAGGCCCAGATGGGCAGAAACACCTGGGGCCCCTTCACGGCATTGCACGGTCACCTGGGTGCTGGGGACCAAGGACAACAAATCCCGTCTCAGAGAACAGGAGAGTTTCTCTCCTGATGCAAATATATGTTGTTTGATATTGGCTTACTGACAAGGTGGAAATACCACACTATTGACCAAATAGGCTTATTTGGTAGTTTATATATCATATAAAAACCATTATAGCTTATTTTATATATATTGTTATTACTTATTACATATATATAGTTATATGTATTTAGTTATTAGTAAATATAGTTAAATTCAGCCACAATCTTGAAGAACAAGATTTTTCTTCTCTTCTGCATGTTCGAAAAAAATGTTTAAAAAGAAAAAAGATTAGAAGTGTTCCTTCTAGAGCAATTCCATGGGCTCTGTTAAAACCCTTTGACACTGGGCCAGGCACGGTGGTGGCTTATGCCTGTAATCCCAGCACTTTGGGAGGCCGAGGCAGGTGGATCACCTGAGGTCAGGAGTTCAAGACCAGCCTGGTCAACATGGTGACAACCTGTCTCTACTAAAAATACAAAAAAAATTCGCCAGGTGTGGTGGTGCACGCCTGTAATCCCAGCTACTCAGGAGGCTGAGGCAAGAGAATCACCTGAACCTGGGAGACAGAGGTTGCAGTGAGCTGACATCGTGCCACTGCACTCCAGCCTGGGTGACAGAATGAGACCCTGTCTCAATAAATAAATAAATAAATAAATAAATAAATAAATAAATAAAACCCCTTGACACTGAAGCATTTGACACTAAAGTGACCACCATAGCATCAGGAACTTCTCTTTGAAGACTTTCTTAATTAGAGCAAATGAGGAAATTAAGAATGCCCAGTACCTGCTGCATGTCAGACGGTTTTAGACACTTCTACCCACTCTTCTGTTTAATTCTCATGGGTCCTACCAAATAGATCCATAATTAGCCCAGATTTTACATGTGAGGGAACCGATCTTCTGAGAGGTTCGGTCTTCTCAGTGTCACAGAATAAGGAGCAACACTAGAATTCTGACCCCAAAGCCTGTTCTTCCCTCTGCACCACGATAATATTTCACACGAGAGGTGGTGCCTAAGACCGAGCTCTCAGGCCAGACTGTCTGGGTTTGAATCCGGGCTTCAGTCGTGACTTACTGTGGCAAGTTACATTTTAAAATTTTATTATTTAAGTGACCTATAATCATTGTACATATTCATGGAGTACAGAGTGATGTTTTGACTCATATAATGCACAGTGATCAGATTAGGGTAATAAGCATATCTGTCATCTCAAACAGTTACCATTTCTTTGTATTGGGAATATTTGATTCATCGTTTTAGCTACTGGAGACTATAGAACATATTACTGTGGCCTACAGTCATCCTGCAGTGGGATAGAACACTGGAACTTACTCCTCCTCTCTAGCTGTGGTTTTGTATTCTTTAACAATCTCTCCCTAGCCTCCCCTTCCCCCAACCCTTCCCAGTCTTTGTGACTTGGCCTTTTGCTGTGGTTTTCCTGGTTGCAAATGGGGTGATGACGGCACCTTTCCCATAGGATTACTGTGAGGATTTGAGGATTCAATCCCCACAGAATGCCGGAAACAGTGCTTGGCACCACTAAGCACCCTGTGAATGTGAACTGCTATTATAGAGATTTTTGCTTGACATCAAGGTTACCTTTTGTCTTGGCTGGTCTCGTGTGGGGGGAGGACAGCACGTGGGCACTGGCGGGCAGTGGGAGGCATGGTGCCCACGGGGGGATGCACAGGCCCCTGGGCCCAGGAAGAAGTGGAGGCCATGGCTTGGAAAGGTCAGCAGGGCTGGGGAGAAGCAGGATGGGTCCTTCGGGCCACAGCAGAGGAGGCTGATGCTGGGGCAGCTGGGGTTTCCAGCTCCAGTGGGTGAGCATGGGGCCCCGGCTGAGGCAGGCAGAGGGCACGGCACTCAGGGGCAAGGCCAGGCCCGCATCCAGCTCTGCCATTTGCTAGATGTGCACTTAGGGCAATTTCCTTTAGCCTGGTGGAGTCTCAGTGTTCCCGTCTATTAATTGGGAATAATTCTGCTTTCCAGGGTGAAGTACAGACATGAAAGAAGCAATGCCTGGGAAGGTACTCAAGAAAAAGCATGATGTGGTGGGGAAGGGCTGCAGCCCAGCCCTGTGCCTGCATCCCACGCATTTCTACTTGATTCCTTAGCTCCCTAAACCTTGCTTGTCTCATCTGTAAGGTGGAGATAAAAATAACAGTCTTCTTTTATTATGTGAGTTGCAAATGACAGAGTGCATGTGAAGGCTCCTGGTGCCAAAAATGTTAGCAGAATTGAGTGGAAGCAGAGTGAACACTCACTGAGGGCCGGGAGACTTAGGAGGGAGCTGGACCCCCCGGGATGCTTTGCTGGATGACCACAGCTTGGGGAGGGGGCTACTGCCTTTGGAGAATGGCAACACTATCATGCAGCTCAGAAGGCTGGAGTCTAATACCCTGCTCAGCAACCAGGCATAGTCCATTCCATCACAGAGCCTGGGTTCACCTTGAGGACAGTGAGAACTCAGCCCTGGCCATGTGGAAGTCAAAGCGTGCAGCACCTACGTACATGGACCTCACCTGTCATCCAAGTCTCCAAACCACACTGCAATACAAACATCGCCAAAGTAGCAGGCTTCTCTCCTCTGGGTGACATCCACAGGGCAGATCTGAGCAACACTTAGTGTCTCCTGGGACCTTCCCAGCCTCGGACAGAATGGTTGTTAGAGGAACAAGGTAATGGTGATATACGCGGGACCTGCCAGTTTGTTAGGCCGGTGGCTTTAATGGCTATTTTGGAGGTGACATTCCATTAGGGGTGATTGGACTTAATTTTAATGGCAGGATGACTTAATGTGTCATCATTCTCTCCTAGGCCTGAAGGTCAATGGGAAAAGTTTCTTTCCTCCAGGAATTACACTACAAAATTTCCATAACACAGCGCCAATTTTGGTCATGCTAAAATATTGAGCTGTAAGAAGTACCCTTCTGCACAAACAAGCTGGATTTTTGGGCCTCTTGGTCCAGTCACCCTGGAGTCAGATAACTTAGGGTGAAATGTTGACTTCGTCACTCCCTGGCTGTGTGGCCTTAGACAACATACTTAACCTCTCTGTGCCTCAGTTTCCTCATCTACAGAGCTGGGTAATCATAGTATGCGCTTCCTAGGGTTGTTGTGAGGACTAATTTGGTGTGTGTAAAACCTGGAAGGGCTGCTAAGGGCTGCTATTATTAGCTCTCTAGGGAAAGGACCAGCATAAGCAGTAATTTGCCAAACACATTCAAAGGCACTTTTGAACAGATGGTCAGGCTAGGGTGAGGGGTTGAGGGAGGAGCAGTGGGAGGTGCGTGTGGAACGGAGGGTTGGGGTGGATGGCAGAGGCATAGGAATGCCAGGCCCGTGAGTTTAAAAGGCATCTTGAATGACATCCCACCACCCAGAGCACTTCTGCGCGGTTCACAAGCGAGAAAGACAATGAGAAAGTAGTATTTTTGGAGGATCTTTGCTGACAGCAGGAATGAAAAGAAATAAATATATATGAGAGCCATTATGAAGGGAACCCTGCAGGACCTCGCGGCTAATTGGATGTGGGGCTGAGGGAGCAGGAGGAGTCTAGGGTGACTTTGAGGTGTGGAGTGAGGTGACTCACAGAAGATAGTGTCGTCGCTGGCACTAGAAAGCCACCAGAGGAGCTGGTTTGGAGGGAGGAGGATGGATTCATTGGTTTTAGGCATGTTGCACGGGATACTGTAGCCAGGAGCCAGGGTCTGGCCCTCGGGAACTGGGTCAGGGTTGGGATGGAGACTTGGCCATCATCTGCAGAGATAAGCAGGGTTTCTCTGTCTTTGAGAGTGAGTAGAGTGAGGGGGAAGCATAGAAAATTGAGGACAGATACAGGGAACACTGGCAGGGGCTAAAACTGACAAAGGAAGAGGAGATCGCGAAGAAGGCAAAGAGAAGGCTGGAAGAGAGCAGTGCCTGGAGGAAGCAGGAACAGGTGTCTGTGGGCATGACTCAGGGGAGGAAAGTTGTTAGATGCTGCAGAGGCCAAGAGGGGCCACGCAGGTAGGAGCCGCTGGGATCAGCCCTGGGTAGCCTGTGCAGAGGCAGCCTGGGTGGACCATGGAGATGTGAATACCAGCTGGAAGGCAAGTCTGAGGTGGGTGCTGGATGAATCAGTGGTGGAACTTAGTTTTAAGAATTTCCACAAAGTGCCAGAAGTGGGAAGATGGTGTCTTCTTTTTATCCTTTTCTTTTCTTTCTTTCTTTTCTTTCTTTCCTTCCTTCCTTTCCTTCCTTCCTTCCTTGTCTGCCTTCCTTCTGTCTCTTTCTCTCTCTTTCTTCCTTTCCTTTCCTCCTTTCCTTTCCTTTCCTTTCCTCATTGCATTTAGCAGAGACTCAGTGTCTTCTTCCTCTTCTTCTTCCTCTTCCTCTTCTTCTTCTTTTGCAAACTCTGCCTCCTGGGTTCAAGTGGTTCTCCTGCTTCAGCCTCCCAAGTAGCTGGGATTACAGGTGCTCACCACCATGCCTGGCTAATTTTTGTATTTTTAGTAGAGACGAGGTTTCACCATGTTGACCAGGCCGGGCTCAAACTCTTGACCTCAGGTGATCTGCCTGCCTCGGCCTCCCAAAGTATTGGGATTACAGGCATGAGCCACTGCCTCTGACCAGATAGTGTCTTCTTGAATGGGGAAAATACCAGCACTTCTGGCAGTTAAGAAGTCCAGTTCTTCAACTCACTAAGCTGCCTTCTGGAGCCCGAACCAGGAATGCAGTGATAAAGAGATGCAGGCTGGAAAAGTTTGAACAACCTGGCCCCAGATTCCCCATCTGTGAAGGGGCACTGAGGCTAGGTCGTACTTGGGCAATTTTTGTGCTGCCCTTAGCTCATGAGCCCCTTCACCAAAGCTAGGTGACCTCTGAGTCCCTTCATATTAGACCAGAGATCCCAATCGTGGGGCATTGCAGCCCCATCATGTGTGGGTTGTGGGCCTCCCATGCTCCTAAAAGCCCAGTGCAATCAAAATAGCTAATGATTATTAAAAACTTTTTGGATTGCAGATGACTGACAGGTATATTCCCACATAAGCTAGTTATTATTATCTTGTTTATACAGTCAAGACATTTGAAGTCCAGAAATGTGACCGATTCACACAGCTAGAATGGAACTTCAACCCAGGCCCCTTACACTCCAAGTTCAAGGCTTTTTCCATCGTGATATGCTATTTTAAAATCCGAGTGGATTAAAATTAAATTTTTTTTTTTTTTTTTTTAGACGGAGTCTCGCTCTGTCGCCCAGGCTGGAGTGCGGTGGTGCGATCTCGGCTTACTGCAAGCTCCACCTCCCAGGTTCATGCCATTCTCCTGCCTCAGCCTCCTGAGTAGCTGGGACAACAGGCTAAAATTAAAATTTTAACTTGACTAGTGTGGAGAATTTTGTGTAACTCTTTGAGCTGTTTAGCAAAATCTACATAGCCCACCTTGCTGGTTGTGGGGACACTGGCATCTCTTGCATGGAAACCTGGCTGGTTTTAACCTTTTCTGCTATTGCAGATGGGGAAAGTGAAGTGGCTCCTATTGACTTTCTGCTGCCGCTTCCAGGTCTGACTTGCACACAGGGCCATGATGCCTGGTGCTTCCTCGGCTCTTCCAGTTGTTTATGTTCAGCCGAGGGCAGTGGATCCCAAAAATAGCAGGCTCTGGCTCGAAGTTCTACCTACATAACTTCTGGGAGCCAAGCCCTCTCTCTCCCTGGCAGGAATGGGTCCTGGGAACATGCAGAGATTCTCCCTGGTGGCATATGGTTTTCCATGGTGGCCGTGACTCAGGAACTCACTGCCATGCTGCCTGACTCTCTACTCTGCCTTTGGGCTCCTGTCTTGCTGGTGTAGGCTGACTTTGATGTGACCTCGAGATTAGCCACCGCCACACTGAGGTCTCTCTTCCTGTCTTCGTGTTGCTGACCTCATCTCGTCCAGCCTCCAACCCCATCTGATGAAGGAAGGGGGCAAGTATGACAGCTGTGCCCCAAGTATAATAGCTCACAACCCGCTACCAAATACAATGTCTTTCCCCACTCAATTCTTATTCTTCCTTCAGGGTTACAATTCCAAATTTCACTCATGCTATTTTTTTTTTTTTTTTTTTTGTAAGACGGAGTCTCACTCTGTCACCCAGGCTGGAGTGCAGTGGAGCGATCTTGGCTCACTAGAACATCAGCCTACTGGGTTCAAGCAATTCTCCTGTCTCAGCCTCCCAAGTAGCTGGGACTACAGGCGTCTGCCACCACACCCTGCTAATTTTTGTATTTTTAGTAGAGACAGGGTTTCACCATGTTGGCCAGGCTGGTCTCGAACTCCTGACCTCAGGTGATCCACCCACCTCGGCCTCCCAAAGTGTTGGGATTACAGGCGTGAGCCACCCCGCCCAGCCTCTTGCTATTTCTTTCAATGCTCCCTGTGCCTTGACAGAGATCCAGGGATTGTGTTGAAGACAATATGTGTAAAAGTAACCAGCATTGCACCCTAAATTGTCCTTCCCCTCTGACAATTGGCCACCATCTCTGTATTAAGCACAAGCACCTCAACAGGCCCTCCGCTGAGGATGCAGGTGAGGACGGGCTGGATGTGCCTTTTATCCCCTCTTTGTGGTGTTACTTGCTCTATTGCAGAATCGAGCATTGGCCCCATTATTCCTGAATGAGTCAGAAGTCTCCGCCCCTCTGCTGAACAGGCCGATGTGTCCCTTGACACACACGTGATAATGGTGCAGTTAAAAAAACAAACCCATAGAGATATGGAAGTGCAGATGTGTAGACGCCCCATGGTTTTTGGTGACACAAACGTCAGCTGTAGCTCAGGGACGTCCTCCTGATAGAACTCGCCATTGTGGCAGGCAACCTCTGAGATGAACTCAGATAGTCTTGCCTGCTGACACCCATGCTCTTGTGTAGTCTCTTCCCACGCTGAATAGGGCTGACTGTGTGACCAATAGGATATTCTAGAGATGACCGACTATGACCTCTGAGGCTGGGTTATAGAAGAAGTGGTGCTTCTGGCTGGGTGAGGTGACTCACACCTTATTCCAGCACTTTGGGAGGCCGAGGCGTGTGGAACACTTGAGGTTAGCAGTTTGAGACCAGCCTGGCCAACATGGTGAAACCCTGTCTCTACTAAAACTATGAAAATTAGCCAGGCGTGGTGGTGAGTGCCTATAAGTCCGGCTACTCGGGAGGGTGAGGCAGGAGAATTGCTTGAACCTGGATGACAGAGGTTGCAGTGAGGCAAGATCATGCCACTTCACTCCAGCCTGGGCAAAAGAGCGAAACTCCATCTCAAAAAAAGAAAAAAATAATAATAAGAAGAAGAAACGGTGCTTCCCTCCTTGTTCTCTTGGAACACTTACTCTGGGGGATGCTAGCGCCACCTCATGAGGACATTGAAGAAACCATACAAACAGGCCCATGCAGCGAGGGCTAATGGTCCCCAACAGTCAGCATTGACTTGTAGGCTGTGTGACCATGGGGACATCTCAGAAGCAGATCTTCCAACCCCAGTCATGCCTTCAGGTGACAGTAGCCTTGGCTGACATCCGAACTATAGCCTGTGCCAGAACCATCCAGTGAAGTCACTCCCAGATTCCTGACCCACAAAGACTATGACATAAGAAATGCTCACATTTTGAGTGCTAAGTTTTGGGCTAATTTGTTACACAGCCACTGATAACTGATACACCCATGGCAAGGACACAGGGACTTCTGACTCAGTCTGGATTCTCAGTCTGACTTGCCTGTGTTTCCAGCTAATGTTGAGTCCTATCCACCGAGCCTCCCAGTACTGCTTCTGGCGACATGCAGCTGCACTGAGGCATTTGAGACCTGGTGTTTCTACTATCTGGATCACTGAAGGAACCTTGGATGCTTTTTTCTAAGCCTGGTAAAGCCATGCAGCAGATCAGCAGGAGGGCACACATTAGCCCACGGGCTGCCTGAGCCCTGGCCTGCAGCTACTCACCTCCTCCTCCTCCTGGGGCTTCACTCCTGTGCTCATTCCATCAGCTATGAGAGTTCAGCTTGACACACAGAGCCTGGTCTCACAGTCACTTATGAGGGGCCATGAGTTCCAGGGTTTCAAACCAGAGAAGATGGGGCTGATATATTTTGTCCATCAGAAACAGCAGAGTCCCACCATGCTAGAAAGACTGTTAGGAGGGTATAGTGAGCCTGGCATGGAGCAGGCACTGAATTGTTTGGTGACTGAGGGGGACTTGGTCTTGCATCCTCCATCACGCTGCTCAGAGAGACGTGGGGCAGAGGTTGTGCTGTGTGTGTGTGTGTGTGTGTGTGTGTGTGTGTTTGTTTGTTTGTTTCTTTCTTTTTATTTTATTTTATTTTTGAAACGAGTTTCACTCTTGTTGCCCAGGGTGGAATGCAATGGTGCGATCTCGGCTCACTGCAACCTCCACCTCCTGGGTTCAAGTGATTCTCCTGCCTTAGCCTCCCGAGTAGCTGGGACTACAGGCATGTGCCACCACGCCCGGCTAATTTTGTATTTTTAGTAGAGTTGGGGTTTCACCATGTTGGTCGGGCTGGTCTCGAACTTCTGACCTCAGGTGATCCGCCCTCCTGGGCCTCCCAAAGTGCTGGGATTACAGACGTGAGCCACCATGCCTGGCTTATTTATTTTTATAGAGATAGGATCTTGCTTTGTTGCCCAGGCTGGAGAGCAGTGGCATGATCATGGTTTACTACAGCCCCAAACTCCTGAGGGGGTGATCCTCCTGACTCAGCCTCCTAAGTAGCTTGGATTACAGGAATGTGCCGCTATGCCCAGCTAATCATTTATTTAGAGATGGGGTCCCATCGTGTTGCCCAGGCTGGTCTTGAACTCCTGGCCTCAACTGATCCTGCTGCTTTGGCCTCCTAAAGTGCTGGGATTACAGGTGTGAGCCCCTTGCCCAGCCTGCACTGTTTTCTGGAGCTCACACTTTCAGAAAGAAATAGGAACACTGGAGTGGAAGAATGGGCGTGGATGAAGAGATTGATGGGGACTTCCAACTCATGCAAGCAAGTGCAGCATTTGGCAGGGGAGGCTCACAGCACATCCCACTTCTGCAAGTCACCAGTGGGTCTTTTCTTGCCACAGGGATCCATCTAGGGGTCCAAGGTATGAAGTGAGTGGGAGGGACTTACAGAGAGACACACGTCAGCTCTGCCTGGAGAAGGATGTCATGGATCTCAGTGGCACACCCAGGTCTCAGAGAGGCAATGAGTTGCTTGTCACAGGAGTTGTTTATTCCCAGCCAGGTGGCTGGGATGGGAGTCTCAGGAGATGAGAGGACTATACTGTTTTTTTCCTGGAGAGGTACATTTCTCTAGTCTGTGGATCAGGCTCCTAAAAGTCCTGCGGAGGCTGCAATTCTGCTGCTTCCCTGCCATGGACTGCCAAATGGGCTGGGTGAAGGAAGGTCCTATTCTCAATGGCATTTCCAGGACCTCTCTGTGTGTGTGATCTGGCTACTTTAGACAGCAATGGTATATTTGCCTTGGCTGATGGGAGTCCCTCATCCCTTGAGCAGTTTTGTGGAGAGCAGGAGAAATGTATCACAGTGTCTTGACGCTCCTGAAAAGCGTATGAGTCACTAGTACCAGGGAACCTGGCGTCCTTTTCTCAGTCATTGAGCTTGCGAGCCAGATCCGAATCATCTTTCCTTCTGCAGTCCTTAATTATGGGGGAAAAAAATGGACTTGTAGAAACCAGTCCTGTGTTTCTGGATGTGGAAGGACTCTGAGCTTTCTCTTGGGCAGAGGGGTTGGAAGGGGACAGGGCACAGAGGGCAAGGGCTCTGCATGATGCCCAGGGGAGTAGAGTCCAGCCTCCAGCCTCTTGTCTCCCAGAGCCCTCCCTGGTGGTCAGTGTTGTGGCCTTGAGCCCCCAGTAGGCCAGTGCTCACTTGGATCCTGCAGCCCAGGCTGGGGCTGGGGATGAAATCTGTGGCCTCCATCAATCATAGCAAATGCATTGTCCCCAGTCGATGACAAAAGGCCAGGAACTGGAACCTCCCCAGACCGACTCAGCTAGTTCACTTGGCTAGAGCCCAGGCTGGTGGGAACCGGATGTTTTGTGGAGGATTGGCGTCTCTCTCCCTGCCTGTGCCCCACGCCGCTCAGTGCTTTCCCTTGGAGTCCTCAACCGTGGAACCGGTGCATTCTTTCCTGGGCAGCTGCTCTGCTCACTTCCAACATGTTGTGCTCTGAGCTCATAAAATCAGAGGAATCAAAGGCAGAAGCTGCAAGCGCTCAGGCCTGCGGGGACCGGCGGCTTTGGAAACTCCAGTTTGCTTTCTTCTTTCCATGTGTGGCAGATGTGCCTGTCTCATCTTGTAGCGCCTTGGCCAGCTTTTGCTTTTCCGCAGAGGAAGGTAAAGCAAAGCTGTGGCCAGAGACCCCTGAGGCTGGAAAAACGTTTAAAGCCCGAGGGGGAGGGCTGCCCTCCCAATGCAGATAAAGGAATGAAACAATAGAGCAGTTGTCCATTTGGAATCCTGGGAAAAGCTCAAAATACGACAGGGAGGTCAGATCAGGCTGGACCCATCTGTAGCACTGAGGGCTGGAGGGGGAATGTTCTGGGCTTGGAAGGCTTCTCTTTCCCCTCTGGTCTCATGAGCCTACTGTCTTATTAATGAATTTGGTTTGCCTAGAGGTCCTGACTCAGTGGCCAGTTTGGTTCCAAAGCAGGTAGTGGCCCCTCTTGAAAAACAGCTGCCCACCTGTTGACCTCATCTTTTAAAAACATGCAGGACATCCATCCACGTGAGAGATCCCTGTGGGTCTCATGGGCCATCCCTGGCTGCCCCTTCATTCTTGACCCTGCCCCATCCCTCCGGGGTCACATTTGGATCTGGGAGAAATATTTGGCAAATGTGAAAATGATAGGTTTAGCAAGAGCCTGAGGAACTGGTAGGGAAAGACTTGTTTCGTTCACGTTTACTTTTTGAACAGATAATTCATTTTCTTGGTTCACAAATCAAAACTATAAAAACCATGACTTCTACCCTTGCTCCCATTAACCCCAACCCAAGTAACCACTTATATTAATTTCTTGGGTGTCTTTATGATATACAAACAAATGTGTGTGTATAACTTTGTACATATATATTTTTTCTTTTTCTTTCCCCCTTTCACAGAAAGGAACTGCAGCGGCCTTTGAGAGAATGAAAAAATACTCAATCTCACTTAGGTTCAGAGACATGCAAATTAAAACTATAATAAAATACCCATGTGGCAAGGCTGACAGAAGTTAGCATTCTGTGCAAACTGGTTTGGACTTTGCTCTTTTCACTTACCTGTGTATATATCTTGGACATCTTTCAAATCAGTACATAAAGAACGTCCTCATTCATTTTTTACAGCTTAATAGTTTCCTAGTTATGGACACATCGTAAATTTATCTAACTGGTTTCTATTACAGACATTTGATTTGCTTCCAATCTTTTGCTACTACGAACCATGCTACCCAGGATGCTTCCTATACATGTAGGTATACTGGTAGAATAAATTAAGGCAAGTGGCATTATTGAGATAAAGGGTAAACATATTTATAATTTTGGTAAGGGTTTTCAGACGTCTTCAACAGAGTGTACACTATGCACTGCCACTAGTAAAGAATGAGAGTCTCTCTTTCTCCATAGCCTTGCCATGCAGGCATTTCATTGTAGTTTCAATTTGTGATTCTCTTATTAAAGTGAGATGGAGCACTCACTTTAATTCCATTCTTTCAAGACCCATTTGCATCTCCTTTTCTATGAGCTTCCTCTTCATCTCCTTTGCCCATCTAAAGAAAAACTGTCTTGTTCACTTTGGTCTTTTTCCTTAACCATGCCTAGTAGCTATTTGTGTGTTAAGGAAAGATTGGCTCTCTGGGATATGAGTCACTCCACATTATTGTTTGTCTTTTAATTTTGCTTATGTTTTGTGGATGTCTAAGTTTTTTAAAAATTAGGTGGTATAATATAGTAATCTTTTTTTTGTATGAATTCTGGATAAAAGAAAGGCCTTCTATTCTCCAAAGTTCTAAAGGAATTTGCCGATATTTTCTTCTAGTTCTTCTATGGCTTCTTTTCTTTTCTTTTCCTTTTCCTTTTTCTATTTTTTGAGACAAGATCTTGCTCTGTCACCCAGGCTGGAGGGCAGTAGCACAGTCTTGGCTTACTGCAGCCTTGACTTCCTAGGGCTCAGGTGATCCTCCTGCCTCAGCCTCCTGGGTAGCTGAAATTACAGGCACGTGTCACCATGCCTGGTTAATTTTTGTACTTCTTGTAGAGATACATGTTGCCCAGGCTGGAGTTTTCATTTTTCAAGAGTTTGTATCTTGGCCAGGTGGCCAGGTATGGTGGCCCATGCCTGTAATCCTAGCACTTTGGGAGGCCAAGGCAGGTGGATCACCTGAGGTTGGGAGGTGGAGACCAGCCTGACTAACATGGAGAAACCCCATCTCTACTAAAAATACAAAATTAACTGGATGTGGTGGCATGTGCCTGTAATCCCAGCTACTCAGGAGGCTGAGGCAGGAGAATTGCTTGAACCCAGGAGGTGGAGGTTGCAGTGAGCTGAGACTGCACCATTGCACTCCAGCCTGGGCAACAAGAGCAAAACTCCATCTCAAAAAAAAAAAAAAGAGTTTGTATCTTTAATCCATTTGGATTTGACTCTGGGGAAAAATGTGAGGCATGGATTGAACTTAACTCTTTTCCAGTTGTTCTGATATCGTTTAGTAATACCATTCCTCTAGTGGTTAGAGATATCACCTTCATAATTTACAGAATCTCTGATTATAATTGGGTCTATTTCTGCATTTTCTAGTTTATTCCATTGTTTGGGATGTCTGTCCGTTGGCCAGTACTATGCTGTTTTCATTACTGAGACTTTACAATACACTTTGAAATGTGATAGAGCTATTTTTTCTCATTCCTTTTCGTTTTGTTTCTTGCTGTTTTTGCTTTTCCTTTCTTTTTCTATTCTTTACCTGGCTATTTTTTTTTTAAATTTGGAATGGAGAGCTTTATTTCACATAAAGGGCTGCAGCCTGCAGGGTGGCCATTCTGACAGGTTGGGAAGCATAGTCTCTGGCCAGAAACCAGAAACAGAAACTTTGAGAGTCAGAAGAATAAGACAGATATTTATATTAAATGGGGTTGTCAAATATACATATTCAATAAGCTGGAGGAGGAGTCATGAACATTTATGAAAGGAGAAACATGCGTGTGTGCAATTGAGCTTCATGCCTCTCTAGGGGACCCATGTTCAAGACATGGCAGTGGGGTTAGCACAATCCAAGGGTGGGGTTTTTGGTCCTCTGACGTCAAATGGTGAAGCAGAGGACATGGACACCCTCTGCACATCCTGCTTAGACTGCCTGGCTATTCTTGCTTGTTTCATTTTTCCATATGAACTTTAGAGTCAGCTTATCTAGGTTTTTTTTGAAAAAGATTATTTGTATTGAGGTCACATAAAATTTATAAATTCTTTTTAGGAGAAGTGATGTGGTAATGAATCTTTCTCTCTTAGAAGGTAGTATGTGTTCCCATTGGTTCTATTGTTCCTTTGCATTTTTAAAGGTTAGTTTCTCTCTTAGGCATTTTGCATGCATGTTAGTAAGTTTATTTGAAGGTATTTTTTGTGTTGCTGTTGTAAAAAAACCCAAACAACTCTTGAAGGATACACCATTTTTCTCACTCTATCCTCTGCCTGGTTGATACTTGTACATAATACTGTTGTTATCTATTACGTTAGTGTGTACCATGCTACCTTTTTTTTTTTTTTGAGATGGAGTCTGGCTCTGTTGCCCAGGCTGGAGTGCAATGGTGTGATCTCAGCTCACTGCAACCTCCGCCTGCCGGGTTCATGTGATTCTCCTGCCTCAGCCTTCTGAGTAGCTGGGACTACAGGGGCACACCACCACGCCTGGCTAATTTTTGTATTTTTAGTAGAGACGGGGTTCCGCCATATTGGTCAGGCTGGTCTCGAACTCCTGACCTCAGATGATCCTCCCGCCTCGGGCTCCCCAAGTGCTGGGATTACAGGCATGAGCCATTGCACCAGTCCCATGCTACTTTTTTCAGAAAGCCTAATTAATGTAAAGAATACAAATGTTATTTGGGTAAGTACCCAAAATGAGTATTTTAGAAATTAGAAGAAGGCAGTCCCAAATAGATTTTAGGAAAACCATAATTGGGGTGGGATGCTTAAGAGTGTGCTTCTTGAGAATTAGGGATCCTTCAACATGGTGGAATTTGAGGGATGTAACATAATTTCAGGAACTCATTCTGCACCAAGAATAAAGATGTGTGAGAGCACAAGCAGTTACCTGCAAAAGAATTTGTGATGAGCTCATCTGTGGTTGGATTCCTTCAGGTCCTAGAGCACAGAAGTGAAATGCCAAAGGCCTAAATTCAGTGGGAAGCAGGGTTCTCACTGGCTACAAAACCTGCAGCTTCAGAAAGGAGCAGTGCAGGGGGGCACTGGCCACTGAGGGCCATGGGTCCTCAGCTTTGACCACCCCTCAGAACTCATCAGAGCAAAGCCCCCAGCTGTTTCCTCTCTTAGAGCATGAGGGAAAGAAATGGAGATCTAGCACTCATCTGTTCCTTTGGAGATGGAAAGAAAAATGGAATTCACAGGTGGCCTTCAAGAGCCCAGTGAGAAACAGTGAGCCCATTCTGCTCTGTCTCTGGGATCAGTCAAAGGCAGAATGGGCAGGTGCAGCCCCAGCACCCTAACACCTTTAGTGCCACCAGTATGGTTTATCCAACCAAGGATTTGGGGTTCTTCTGCGACTTGGGGCTCTTTTAGGGAACAAAGTTTATTTTCTTCTTCGTCTTCGTCTACTACAAATAAGAGGAAGGAGGGAGCTGTTACTGCGCACCCATGCGTTATGCTTGGTGCAGTCTGTATGTCCTCAAGGCATGCCTCGAAATCATTCTCTCTGCTTTTATGGATGAAGAAATGAAGGCTCAGGAGGGCAATTAACTTTCTGAAGGCAACTTGGCTGGGAATTAGCTGCTGTAGGGTCCAGGGAGGAGGAGGATGGAGGTAGTGGAGCTCTGGACACCTCCTTCTTCTTGCTTGAATGAAAGCAGCTCCGCGTTGTGTATGGGTTTCCCATTGAGCTATGCTTTGAAGAAAGGATTCTACTTGGAAAGAGTCTGTGTTCCCAGACAGGTCTATTCTATGTTTCTCAGCCCCAGAGATGGGTTTTGAATTTGCAGCACCTCCCCACTCCTACCCCTACCCCAACCCCCGCTCATACTATAGCCCCCACTTTGCCTAGTGGATTGGAGGGGTCCCAACCCACTGAGGAGCAGTATCAGGTGCTGAAGGCTCAGAGGGGACTCAGGGCTGGGAGATGGCAATGGCAGCTCCCAGCCAAGCTCTGGTCCTCTCCAACCGATTGCCACAGCCAGCTTCAGGCTGGAAGGCTCTGCAGTGGAGTGAAGCTGACATTTCTCTCAGGAACTACAATGGGGAAAAATGCTGCCAGCCACCCTCTCCCTACTCCCTCCAGACCCTGACAAAAGGGTTCCCCAACCAACCGTACCAGTTACTCAGCAGTGTCTTTGATAAGAATTAGAAACTCAGGAATTACTTCAACCAAGCTGATGGATTGTAAAGGTACTTGAGCTCATTATATTCTCTTCCAGACTGACTTTTCTTTTGCACTTAATGATGAATAGTCCTTGGTGCTTCTGTGATCTTACTCCAAGATTTTAAAAAATCCTAGGAATAAGAACTTTTTCTCTTTTTTAAGAGAAAGGGTTCTACTCTGTTGCCCAGTCTGGCGTGCCATGGCGTGATCATAGCTTGCTGCAGCTTCAATCTCCTGGGCTCAAGAGATTCTCCTAGTTCAGCCTACTGAGTAGCTGGTACTACAGGCATACCTGGCTAATTTTTTCAATTTTTTGTAGCGATGAGGTCTCACTATGTTACCCAAGCTGGTCTCGAACTTCAGCCCTCAAGCGATCCTTCCACCTTAGCCTCCGAAAACGCTGGGATTATAGGAATAAACCACCATGCCTGGCCTAGAACATTGTTATTAGCATCATCATTACTATCCTCCTTGTCCTATTCTGGCTTCCAAATTGGACTGCGTCTAACATTGATGGCTGAAGCCAAGACATCATTCTTATCACCATGACAACAAACATAATACTGAATTAAATAATCGGCTTTTATAGGAAGTGCTCAGTGCACTAGGCCTGATACCAAACTTGAGAAAACTCAACTTTAGAGATAGGAAAAAAGGACTATCTAGAGAGAAGAGGTCATTTATTCCACATTTCTTGCAAAGATAAAGGCAAATTCTGGAAAAACACTGCGCTCTGCTCTCCCTGGTGATTGTGAGCAGTTACAGCTTGTGAAGATCTCACATCCTGGGCAGAATTCCATGGCAGGAGGGCTGCATTTTGTAGTCAATGACTGGGCTGCCTGTGGATGGGCAGCTGTGTTCAGACCTGAGCCTTCATCCTTTGTATTCTTGGACTCTTGTCATGGACCAAGGGATGCAAGAACCTCCTAACAGGCCTTGATCTTTCCTCCACGGGAACAGCCTTAAACTTTTGGGGAAAGTAAGGCAACAAAATGAGCAGTGCTAACGCAATGTGTAATCTGTTGCTCATCAGCGGGAAGACTTTTATTCAGTGGTCTAAGCATTTTACAAATAGTAACTTATTTAATCTTCACAGCAATGGTCCCACTTCAGTATTCCTATTTTCAGATGACAAAACTAAAGCACATATCGATGACATAACTGGACTAAGATCACACATCCAGCCTGTTGCAGAGCTGGAGTGGGAGCCCAGATCATCTGGATTCAGAGTCCATGGTGCACTTATTATTCTGGAAGTATCTAGTGCTGTGCCCTTGGCTTGGCAGTGTGGTTCAAAATCCAATCCAGCGTGGTTCATGGTCCCTTCCCTCTAGTAGCTTACAATCTCTGAGAAGCTTATGTTTTGAAGGTTTTGCCTTATAAGGACCTGTACCTCACTTAGTCTTCAGCCCTCTTTACAAGTACATTGAACTCACTTAGTTACAAGGATTACAAACAAATACTACAGGGATGTGATGGGTAGTTGTGTGTGTGTCCATTCCGCTGGGCTATGGTGCCCAGTTGTTCAGTTAAACACTACTGTAGATGTTGCCGTGAAGGTGTTTTTAAAGATAACATTAACATTCAAATCAGTAGACTTTGACTAAAGCAGATGGCCCTCTGTAGTGTGGGTGGGCCTCGTCCAATCAGTCTAAGGCCTTAAGAGAAAAAACTGATCTCCCCCAAGGAAGAGGGAATTCTACCTCCAGATGGCCTTCAGACTTGAGACTGCAGCATCCATTCTTCCCTGGGACTCTAGCCTGCAGCCTGGCTTGCACATTTCAAACTCACCAACCTCCACAATTAATTGAGCCAATTCCCTAAAATAAATTTCACTCTCTTTCTCTATCCATACTATTGGTTTTGTTTCTCTGGACAATCCCGACAAATACAAAGGAAAACATGACATTCTGGGGTCTCACTAAACAAATTCTTCAGTGGTAAATAACTTCCGTAGATGGGTAGCTAGAATACAAATGAAGACATCTGAGAACTGTGGAATCCTCTTTACGCTTTCTGCAATGCTGATGTGCGTTATGGTATGTGAGGAATAAGTTGAATTTGAGAAGGCAGAGATTCCTTATTCTGAAGTGTCTCAGCCAGGTATTGGCTCTTACCATTTCAGCCGCAGAGATGGCGCTCCCATCTGCAAGGTTGGGCAGGGGTCCTCTCCCAGTCCTCTGAGATAGGTGAGCAAGACACAGAAATGGCTGTGGGGGGACCAGCCTGAACACTGGTTGATGAGCAATGCACAGAGAATTCGCTGAAAGTACTCTCGGGGACAAGAGTGCCCCCGAGGGACTCCATTGGTGTCCGAGAGTAATAGAGTTCCTGCAGAGAGGAGACCGCAAATGGCATTTGCCACAATTTACCCACCTCAAAATAGTGACAACACCAGCCTTTGTGAAGCAAATCAAGTGGGAAAAAAAATCACTTTTACAAAATGGGAACAGTGCCTCTTAGTGCCACGTCACAGTGATAAGCACTTGGATCTTATTCTGGGTGAGAGTCAAATGAAACCCCAAATGTTCTTTTGAACAAGACTGTTCCACTTAATAGAACTGCCACTCAGTGAGTCCTGTTGTTCTCCCCACGGGCCCCTTGCTGAGCCTTGGAAGCATCCTCACAGAAGACTTGAAGCTTTGCTGATTTAAAGCATCCTCCTGCTCAAGTCTTGGCCAGGAAAAGTCAGGTGGGAACCCATTTGTGACTCAAGCCCCCACCTATCAATAGAGCTGGGTTCTTAAGTTCGTTTGTGAGTAATGTGTTGAGATGAACTGGATCTGTTATTCCTAGTGGCACCCTCAGCTGTGTCACTGGTGGAGTGGGGGCTTGGGGCTGCCTTGGAGCCCAGTCACCACTAAATGTGTTCCTCATTTACAGGTCACTTGTCATGCACAGGTCATCCAACCATCAAGTCTTGCCCCAGTCAAAGAGGATTGGGCCTTCCTGCCTCAGTTAGCTGAACCTGTGAGCTCCTTGAAGGCAGGGTTGTGTCTTAGATATTTTAGTATCCTCAGATGCCTTGCACAGTTAGGGCTGAGAAGAAGGTCAGTCAATATGTGCTTGATTAAGTAAAACCAACCTCTCTGCTCTCTGGAAGCCTGTTTTCTTCTGTTTGGTTTGAAGTGGTTAATGAAGTCTTGGCTTGGGTAGAGCCTTGGCTCTAACTGAGATTCTGTGATCTACTGTGAATTATAGGGATGTACTCTGCAATGAGTCGTGAAGCTTCTGGGGCAGAAAGGATGTGTGGGTGTGCTTACAGAGCAGTCCAACCCTGTCTCCTACCTCGGCCTCAAGCAGTCTAAGGGAGTCTGGTAAGGGAGGCAACCACAGCATTTGGGAAGTTCTTAAGGTCACCGGCTTCCCTCTTTTGAGACAAGTATCAGAAGACTTGAGATTTCAAATGAAATGTCTGCTTATTCTGTTGTGTGGACAGCTCAGGAGTTCACATATGAGTAAAGAGGATACTAACCACCAGCTACTCTCTTCAAACCATGTACACTGTCCATTGCAGTAAAGCATTTGTCTCTGTTTTGGAATAACTTACGAAGTTGATGACCCCTAGGAGTTCTATAAGAATTTTGTCAAGTCATCTTATCAGAAACTTAATTTGTAGGGGTAGGCACAGTGGCTCACCCCTGTAATCCCAGCATTTTGGGAGGCCAAGGCGGCGGATCACTTGAGGATAGGAGTTTGAGACCAGCCTAGCCAACATGGTGCAACCCCATCTCTACTAAAAATACTGTGTATATATATATATCCCATCTCTACTAAAAAATTGACCTGGGTGTGGTGGCGCATGCCTGTAAACCCAGCTGCTCGGGAGGCTGAGGCAGGAGAATTGCTTGAACCCAGGAGGCAGAGGTTGCAGTGAGCTGAGATCATGCCACTGCACTCCAGCCTGGGTGACAGAGCGAGACTCTGTCTCAAAAAAAAAAAAAAAAAGAAACTTAATTTGTTTTGGCCAAGGAAAACAGGGCTTTAAGCACCCTTAAATCAGATTTGCTCTTTTATAATTGTTTTGTCAAAGGGACTTCTCTGCTTTCATTCTCAGCCACCTCTGTCTTTGTCAAGTGGCTCACGCCTGTAATCCCAGCATTTTGGGAGGCCAATGCAGGTGGATCAGGAGGTTAGGAGTTGAAGACCAGCCTGGCCAATATGGTGAAACCCCATCTCTACTAAAAATAAAAAATTAGCCGGGCGTGGTGGTGTGCGCCTGTAGTCCCAGCTAGTCAGGAGGCTGAGGGAGAAGATATACTTGAACCTGGGAGGTGGAGCTTGCAGTGAGCTGCACTCCAGCCTGAGCAACAAAGTGAGACTCCGTTCCCCCCAAAAAATTTTACTGATGAAACTTGGGCCAAAGGCTTGGGCATGGACTTCCCAGGGTAGGGAAAGAGGGAACAGGCAGGGTTATATTTACTCTTATTTCCCTTGTTAAGGCAAGGATGCTTAATTTTAGTGGTGATGACGATAAAAATGATGTTAACTAGCATTCACTGAACATTTGTTACGTGCTTGGCATGGTACTAAGCACTTTGCGTGCATTATCTCACACAATTCTCCCAACAGCTCTACAAAATACACTCTATTCCCCCACCCCGAATTTTATATATGAAGGTGTGAAAGGAAAATAAATCTCAGGACCGCAAAATCACTAATCCAAGGGAAAAGTCAAGCCGGGAACTGCGTCAGGCAAACCTGCCTCCCATTCTATTCCTAAATAAGATAGCTACAAAGATAAAAAAGCTACAGATCCCTTTCACAATTTGCCCACCAGGAAATTCCTTGTGGTCTGCAAGATCTTTACCCTAAAATGGTTCTGTTGAATTACCTGACAATGTAAATGGATAGCTTATCTTCATGGGTGCAGGACAAAGGACAGAACTCAAAGTCATCCCTCTGCTCACCTGAGACAAAAGCATATCTGATTGTTTTTTTCTGATGTAAAAATGAAGGCATAAGTGAATATTCCTCCACCCCCTCACATGTAAATTGTCTATTTAATGAAAAGCTGAACAAAGACTCAAAAGAATGCAAAGTTTGTCTCTTACCTACCCACACCTTTAAAAAATTTCTTCCTTTTCTTCCAATATCTGCCCTTTCCCCTTTAAATAAGCCTTCAAAATCATCTTTGGAGAAAGGCACAGACCTTCCTCCAGGGCATGTGTCCTTAACCTTGGTAAAATAAACTTCCTAAATTGGTTGAGATTCCTCTCAGATATTTTTTGGTTTACAGAGCAAACCGAGGTTTAAAGATGCTGCGGTAGCATGCCCAAAGATCTATCTTAACTGGGGACACAGAAGCAGACTCTCAGATGAGGATTTGTGTGCAGGAGATTTGTAAGGAAGGGCTCCCTGGAGGAACCTGGTAAAAGAGTTGGGGAAGCTGGTCTGGGAAGGGGCCAGGGATGATCTCAGAGGGTGGCTTACACCTGATTCTGCAAGCAGGGATGGCTGCAGGGCCGTGCGCCTGTGCAGTCACACGGGCCCCACACTTAGGCCTTACACTTGGGTTGATGCTCTGCTGTTGTTGCTGTCTTGAAATTCTTCATACTGTTTGAACAAGGGATCTGCTTTTTCATTTTGCACTGGGTCTTGCAAATTCTGTAGGGAGTCCTGTCCCCAGGGCAGCTCTAAAGTATAAGTGCCTCAGAGCTGCCCCACCCAAGGCAAGGAGCTGGGGCTGCATGCTCTCATCATCAGCCATTCATTGGTCATCTGTTAAGGGCTGCCCCAGGGGGACATATGTTCCTGCAGGCTATAGGTTCCTTCTCTGTGCAAGCAAAGCAGCTGTACTACTCTGCAGGCAATACTGCTGATAAAGAGCTGCAGGTGATGGCTGTTGAAAGTGAAAACATTCTTAGGGGCCTCAGGATTCAAACCTGGGGCTGGAGTTTCTAACCCCTCTTCCTGCCAGAGGTCATGTGCTTCCCTGCCCTGCAGTGACGGTGGCTTCAGTTCCGCTATGAGTCCTGGAGTCCTCGGGCTCCTCCTTCCCTTCTTTTTGTCCACTGCTTCTGATTGTGGATAAAAGGGGAAGTGAAAGAATGATAAGGAAGATTGGGCAGTGGTGCAAACTGCTAGGAAAACCATGATTCACCTTCCTGGAGACAGTCCCTCTGGCCTGGGTGGGCCACCCACCGATCCATGATGATGTCGCCATGCCAATCATGCCAGTTCAGCCTTCCCTTCAGATGTGTAGTCCTCAAGTGTTTTCTAACAAAACACACATATATATGTTTTTCTACTTTGTCATCTCCTGTGAATTTCTAAGAAAATGTAATTCTTTTTTTTTTTTTTTGGACAGGGTTTTGCTCTGTTACCCAGGCTGGAGTGCAGTGGCATGATTGTGGCTCACTGTAGCCTCTGGCTCCTGGGCTCCAGCCATCCTTTGGCTTCAGCCTCCTGAGTACTTGGGACCACAGGTGCACCCAACCACACTTGGCTTTTATTTTAATTAAAAAATTTTTTAAATTATTTACTTATTTATTTATTTTGAGATGGCGTCTGGCTCTATTACCAACACTGGAGTGCAGTGGCACGATCTCAGCTTACTGCAACCTCCACCTCTCAGGTTCAAGCGATTCTTGTGCCTCAGCCTTCCGAGTAGCTGGGATTACAGGTGCATGCTACAACTCTCAGCTAATTTTTGTATTTTTTTGCAGAGACAGGGTTTTGCCATGTTGCCCAGGCTGGTCTCGAGCTCCTGACCTCAGGTGAGCCACTCACCTCAGCCTCTCAAAGTGCTGGGATTACAGGTGTGAACCACCATTCCTGAGCTTTTTAAAAAAAATTTATTTTAATTTATTATTTAGTATTTTGTAGAGACAAGGTCTCACTATGTTGACCAGGCTTGTCTACAACTTCTGGCCTCAAGCAATCCTCCTGCCGCAGCCTCCCAAAGTGCTGGGATTATAGGCATGAACCACAGCACCTGGATGAAAATGTAATTCTTACGGCCTTGAGTCTTTGTGTTAAGCTCCTCAAACCGTGTGTTTTAAAGAACTTTTAAAATTTCAGGCTAAAAAATAATAATGACATGTTTGTTCTTGGCAGGCCGGGTGTGTCTGTGCCTATGTATGTAACATGCATATCCTCTATTACTGCAGTGTAAAGATTCACGCAAGTGTCATTAGTTTTACAGTTCTATACAAAGTTTACCAGTTTTAACTCTAGGGTTAGGTTGTTGAAGGCTTGACTGAAGAGTCCTTCCGAATGGCACACTCATGAGCCATTACCAGAAGCTTTTATGGGCAGAGGTGGGCCGATCACTTGAGGCCAGGAGTTTGCGAGCAGCCTGGCCAACATGGCGAAACCCCATCTCTACTAAAAATACAAAAATTAACTGGGCTTGGTAGCACACGCCTGTAGTCTCAGCTATTTGGGAGGCAGAGGCAGGAGAATTACTTGAACCCAGGAGGCGGAGGTTGCAGTGAGCCAAGATTGCGCCACTGCACTCCAGCCTCGGTGACAGAGCGAGACTCCAAAAAAGAAGCTTTGATGGAAGGGAAAACAAGCAGGCATACAAAATGGTCCCCTGAAACACCGCATTTGCAGAGGATGGATTCGAAGTCAAACAGCAGGGACTTTCCTTCTTAAAAATTATGACTCCTGCAAACATGTCCATGGGTTGCTATGCAACAGGCACATCCAGTCAATACAGAGCACATAAATTAGCAATAAACGTGAGGGCGAAATTGCTTTCTGATTTTTTCCACCAGAAACTTCCTGGAAATGTTCAAACACTTCCTGCATATCTGTGCCACGCCTGAAAAAGTGTCCCTCTCTGTTCAGTGGGCACCAGCTCCTAAGAGCGTTTAAAGATCTTGACTTTGAAAGTTTGACTGCTTGTCCTAAGCTGCTCATTCATCCCTGGGTTGCTGTCCTCACCAACTAGACCACGTATGGGAGAAGAGTGAACCAGGTCTCTTCTAGAATGCAATGCCAGGACTTTAAAATTGCTATCCTTTGTCCCCTTTGTGTTCATTATCTTAATGACCCATTACTTACCTCATCTTACCCTCTTCCTCTTATCCTTAGCATTTTTGCAGTGTGCTTACTTTGTCTTTTAATTAGGTCTGATTCATTGGGTAGCCAAGGTGATGCACTCATCCTGCTGAAAAAGAATTCATCCATGTGGTTCATCCAGGGCATCTGGCTAAAACCCAACACACAAACCACTGCTAAACCTCAGCCTTCCTTGCATGGGAAAGCAGCAGAAAGTTCTCTCTCTTTTTTTTTATTTCCACAAAATCTACATCCTCAAAGCACGCAGAGAAGCAAATGCTGGCTAGAAGTGTCATTGTTTACTCAAGACACTGTACAAAAAAAGAGGAAGGAGCAGACGTTTGGCCACCAAAGCAAATCTGAAGGAATCTTCGAAGGAGGAAGAGTCTAAGAATTTAAGAGGAGGCCATGATGACACGACCATTTTTTGCATCTTTAGGCAAGCCCTGATACTTAATGTCCCTTATTTAAGCCTTTTATGCACAAACATCTTGTCACCTCCACATCACAGCTAGTCCCAGCAAGGAGAGAAACTGGCCAAGATAGGCGTTTTCAGGGAGTTTTCTAGGGAAATGAGGAGAAGTGTGAGTAGAAGGAAGGAGACATGCAGGCTTGGTGGACACTCCGGCAATGCTCATGCCAACCCATGTGGGGAGCCCTTTCTGAACTCATCCCTCCAGTCCCCCAAGTACCACTCCTGTTACCATGCCACACAGAACAGAAATCCCAGCTTGGGAAATAGTGTCCTCAACTATTAAAGAATTGATTTTTTTTCAAAGACATCCAGAAGAGGAGACTCCATACCCTCCCATTCCAGTATGAAAATCGTGACTTATATCCAAATAGTCTCTTTCCAAATGCTTATTAATTTTACTTCCTGGGAAATCTCCTCTTTCAACCTAAACTAGGATAGTCGCAGATAGTTCCTATAAAAACTCTCTCTAGATCTACTGCAGACTTGGCTCCCAGAACCAAATACAGACTTGCAGTCATTGTATTCTCTGTCTCTCTCATCTGCCACTTCACCTTGGTGCACCATGTTATCACATCTAACCCCACACAACCTTGGAAAAACTACAGATGAAAAATTTCCATTTTAGTTTTGATATTACAAGCCTGTTTTGAAACTCTGAATTTTTAGTCCTAAAAATGGTACTATCTAATAGATGTTGTGATACTTTTCTGTCTAATGGACCAAGATGGCTGCAAATACAATGCAAATAGACCAATTAACTCCACATTTCCTCAGAAGTCAGGGTAATAGTGAAAAACTGTTTTAATGGATAGAATCCATTATCATCGAGGGCCATAAACTTGAGTCTTTGAAAAAATAATGAATCAGATAGTTTCATACTAATATTGCTCCTTTTTCCTCCCTTTTAAGGTACCTTCTAATATTACCCGAATCTCCTGATAATGAAAGAATTGAACAATTAGATTGATCATGAAAGGTTTTACAGTATCTTTTCCTCATTATACCTATTATAAGGGCCTTGTCTAATTTGAAGGACCTAGATTTTTTAAACTGGTATTATTGTTTCTAGCTGTCTGATTTGTACCAATATTCAGATATCACTGATACTTCTGATGGTGAGTGTTTATCTAGATGTCTTTGAGAAAGGCATTTTTCTTGCCACTGTCTGTTTCTCTCTCCACTCCTTTTTTTAGTACCTATGCTGCTAAAGGGAGCACTATCTACTCCTCTCTTATGTTCAGATCCTTGGTACATGGTGCAAATCACCTGGCTTAACAGATGTTGGCATTTTGGTGACTTTCTCATTCCTTCTTGGGACCATTCTTGCCGGTGCTTGGCTCATCCTTCCCTTCTCATGTACAAAGGACTTGAACACTTTCAGTGGACAAAGTTTATCAAATATGTTTGCATAAACCCCTCTTTCTGTCTTTCAAGCTACAAGACCTAGGTTTCTCTGCTTAACATTTGCTTCATTTTACTAAGCCTGACCACACATTGTATAGAATGCGATTTCCTTGTTTCTGAGTGATACCAGGTCTTCAGGGCCTACATACAAGGCTGGCTACATAATTTGTAAGGCCCAGTGAGAAACAGAACTTCAGAGCTCCTTGTTAAAACATTATTAAGAATTTCAAGCTTGTGACAACAGAGCATCAGACCAAGAGCGGCACCCTGTGTAACTGCCCAAGTCACACCTCCATGGATCCAGCTCTTCATACATGTATAACTTCATATGAGTAACACTAGGCATGATCTGCAACTTAGCCTTAGTTTGTTTCTTTACTATTTTTAGTTTGCAGACTAAGATCATTGCTTATTTCTCAGTGCTTTGAAAATATCCCAGTGACTTCTGACTTCTATTGTTGTCACCGAAAAGTCTGCCATCCAAAAGAAACTATCAAGAGAGTAAATAGACAACCTATAGAATGGGAGAAAATATTTGCAAACTATGCATCTGACAAAGGTTTAATATCCAGCATCTATAAGGAACTTAAATTTATAAGACAAAAACAACCCTATTAAAAAGTGGGCAAAGAACATTAACAGACATTTTTCAAAAGAAGACACACATGCAGTCAACAAGCATATGAAAAAAACTCAACATCACTGGTCATTAGAGAAATGCAAATTGAAACCACAATGAGATACCATCTCATACTGGTCAGAATGGCTATTATCAAAAATAAACAAAAACAGATGCTGGCAAGGTTGCAGAGAAAAGGGAACACTTATACACTGTTGGTAGGAGCGTAAATTAGTTCAACCACTGTGGAAAGCAGTATGGCAATTCCTCAAAGAGCTAAAAACAGAACTACCATTTGACCCAGGAGTCCCATTACTGGGTATATATCTAGAGGAATATAAATCATTCTACAGTAAAGACACATGCACGTGAATGTTCATTGCAGCACTATTCACAATAGCAAAGATGTGGAATCAACCTAAATGCCCGTCAATGACAGATTGAATAAGGAAAATGTGGTATACATACATCATATAGTACTATGCAGCCATAAAAAAGGAATGAGATCTTGTCCTTTGTGGGACCATGAATGGAGCTGGAGGCTATTATCCTAAGCAAACTAATGCAAGAACAGAAAACCAAATGCCACACATTCTCACATGTAAGTGGGAGCTAAATGATGAGAACTCATGAACACAAAGAAGGGAATAACAGACACTGGGGTCTACCTGAAGGTGGAGGGTGGGAGGAGGGAGAGGAGCAGAAAAGATAACTAGTGGATACTGGGCTTGATACCTGGGTGATGAAATAGTCTGTACAACAAACCCCCGTGACACAAATTTCCCTATATAACGAACCTTCACATGTACCCCTGAACCTAAAGTAAAAGTTTTTTTTTTTTTTTAAGTCTGCTGTCAAACTGTTGTTTCTTTGAAAGTAATCTTTTCTTTTTTTTTTCCCAATTGATTTTGCCCTTTGGCAGCTTTTCCTTATAATGCCTCTAGATTTTTATATCTCGTTTTGAACTAATTATGCTACCTGAATCTGATTTTCATCTTGTTCTAGAAAACTGTCAGACACTATCTTAAAATATTGCCTCTTACCCCATTCTTTCTTTCTGGAGCTCCTATGTAATGCATGCTAGAGCTTCTCATTTCATCTTCCATGTATTTAAGTTCTCTTTCATGTAAGAAATATCTTTATCTTTCTGTGTTGCATTCTAGGTAATTTGTTTCCAAACCACTTCCTGGATGATCAATTCTCTCTTTGGCAATCTTTGCCCCGTTTATTAAGTTTTTATTTTTAATGTTACACATTTCATTTCTAGAGGTAACATATGGTACTTTTTCAAATATGCCTGGTCTTTTAAATTTATTTTCTCAAAATTTTGATTTCTCCTTTTACATTTCAGTTATGTTAACAACAATTCATATCCTCCTTCTGATAGTTCTATTAGCTGATGTTCTGGGGGTTCTGGGGACTCATTACCTGTGCCGCCCGTTGTGTCTGTTTATTCTTGTTTGTAGTGCACTCTTGCTCATGTCTCTAAACGCATTTTGTAATTTTCGATTGTGAGCTTCTATTTAAAAGAATGTGCTCACTATGGGAATCTTGTGTGGCAGAGGTTGAAGATTGGTTTCTATAGAGAAGTTTTTTATTTGTTTTGGCAAGTGCTCTTGTGATATTGGGACTCCTTTTATGTTAATTAATTGACGTAGCTTTCCTAGACCATACAGGTGAGTAAACTTAAGCTCCAAACCCATGTGAAGTGTGGTCTGTGGTTATGAAACTTGAGGTGACCTTGTTTTCCCTCAGCGGATCTCCCACTGCTCAGGCAGCCAAGTGTCAGCACTTTTTCTTGTGCTCAGACCTTCTTTATACTCAGTCTCTGGGATTTCCTTCACTCATTTCAGCTGTGCTTTTAACACCACACTTATTATTTTTCTACAGCATATTTAGGCGTTTCTGTGGCCAGAAGCTTTTCAGATTCTCCTCTAAGATATTGCCAAAATGATAGTTCTTGTCATCCTGAATTTCTGAACACAGAAAAAGTTTTCCCACGATGATTACAGATTTTGAGATCTCTCTAGATACTAGGGACATCTTTAGAAAGCAGGCCAAGAGCCTTGACCAAACTTACGGCAATTCTATTGTACTGATCAGAAAATATCACTTACTTTTGCATGTAGATTTTATTTAGATGAGAGTTAGGTTTTGTTTTGCAAAGAAAATAGCTAATGTATTCTTTGCTAAGAATGACGGTGATACACAGCGGTTGGATTTATTTAATAAAATGTGAGATGTTAAGAAAAAAATCTTAGGAATTTGAAGACACTGAGAGTGTTCAATGCAAAAAAAAAAAAAAAAAAGGCAGAGAGAGAGGGTGTTTCAGTTGCCTGCACCATACATACTCGCTGGTTCCGAATAATGCAAGGATTTCTCTCTTCTGTTCCGGTCTTTTGATGTTGAGTTTCCTGCCCCTTAAATATCTGCTTTACCAGAAAATGAGAAAGTCTTCACCCAAAAAAACAGCACAGAAGTGAAGCCAAGTGACTGTAAAAGGTTTCATAGCCTGGTCAACAGGGAGGCAGCTGGCGATCACTTCCTGCCTCACCCTGGAGGAAGGAGCTACTAAGGAAAGGGACGTCTAAGCTGAAACAACTTCAGGTGGTTCCTGTCCCTCTCTAGAGACTTTAAAGTCTCACTGCATGGAATGCCCTTGATATCCAGACTGGGAAAATCTAAGCCTGTGGACCAGGAAGAAAAGTCATTCATTTATTCATTCGTTTATCACTCCTACTACTCATGAGAGTCAAGTGAGGGCTGTCTGGGGACTTAGGGTAGGAAACTTTCAATATGGCTAGATATATGCACTTAACTATTTCTTTTTCTTTTGGATTGACAGTCTTATTTACTCTGAATACAGGGCATTCATAATGCTCATTGTTGCTGCTACTATTCTGTGAACACATGTTTAGAAAAAAACGTGGTGCAACGGTATGGGAATTCTGAGTTCACTTGTTCATCCATTTTTTTCTTTAAATAACATTTATCCAGTGGTATGTTATATAGAGCTTTGTACTGGGTGGAGTGGGGCTAAAAAGATGAATGATAAATAGTTTCTACCCTTAGGAATCTCAGTCTAATACCATGTGGGGGATGGGGCAGTATATTTACAGAAAGAAATGCTACATGGGGCATATTTAACCCACAAATGATCTAACTGAAGAATCAGAATAAATATTTCCATACATTTTAATTGTGGTAAAATATACACAACATAAAATTTACCGTTTGAAGCTTTTTTTTTTTTTTTGTAGACAGAGTCTTGCTCTGTTGCCCAGGCTGGAGTGCAATGGCACGATCTTGGCTCACCACAACCTCTGCCTCCTGGGTTCAAGCGATTCTCCTGCCTCAGCCTCCTGAGTAGCGGGGATTACAGGCGTGCACCATCATGCCCAGCTAATTTTGCATTTTTGGTAGAGATGGGGTTTCTCCATGTTGGTTAGTCTGGTCTCAAACTTCTGATCTCAGGTGAACCGCCCACATCAGCCTCCCAAAGTGCTGGGATTACAGGCATGAGCCACTGCACCTGGCCTATTTGAAGCATTTTTAAGCGTACCATTTGGTGGCATTCATTAAGTACATTCACATTATGGTGCAAACATCACCATCATCCCGGAAGCCTTTGCATCTTTCCAAACTGAAACTGTACCCATTAAACACGAACTTCTCATTCCCCTCCCCCTAGTCCCTGGCACCCACCATTCTACTTTCTGTCTCTGTGACTTTGACTCCTCTAGGTGCCTCATACAAGTGGAATCATTCAGCAGTTGTCTTTTTGCATATTGCCTGTCCAAAACTTTTTGAATGGAAAGAAGTATGTTTTACAGAAACAGGAAAGTCCCAGCCTTGTCTCTGACTGCTTCACCCCTTGGTTCAGCCCAGTGAAAGCTGGTCAACTTTCCTTAATGCTCTGAGATCCGTAATAGCACAACCATTTTAGTATCTTTCTCTGAAGACTGCAACACGCTGTCATGATATTAGTCAACTCAAGTCAACTGACATTATTATAGTGCTTATGAGGCTGCTCCTGCCTGAAAGCCCTTCACTGCCTCCCTGGGGTGTGGGTGGAGGATGAGATAAGCAGCTCACAAGTGGGACAGAACCCTGGCTCTGCGGAAAGCCCAGCTGGCTGCCACGGGTGGCATGTTTCTCGGGGCTTCCTGTGTGAGCGCATAGACAGCCCTGCTAGTCCCTCAGCCCAGATGCCTGCCAGAAACCCAAGCCCTGAGGATGCCCCTCCAGATGTGTGCTGTGAACTGAGCTTTCTGAAATCCTTCTCCTGGGGCCAGACACTCATCAAAGCGCCAACTCTATCGCAGACTGCATTTGAGTCACCTGTTATGTTTGAGATCCGCCCTGTGTTGGGAGCTGAAACCTGTTGGCTGGTCTTGCTGGGGTTAGGGAAGGGCCTGAAGTCTGGAAGAGGACTAGGTCAAGTTTCCTGCTGTACTTCTGAGGTCCTGGACGTGAAGCCGAAATGCTGCAGCTCACAGCCAGTGTGGTCAGCCGAATGGGAGTCAGCTCTGGGCGGCTTATTGCCATGAACAAAGGAGCTCAGTTGCTGGGGTTCACCTCCTATCCCATCAGAATACAAGCTGCACTGGGGCTAGATGTCCACGGCTGTATCCTCAGCACCTAGAAGAGAGTCTGGGACCAAGTGTGAACATCTATAAACCGGAGGAAACATCTGTTGGCAGGATATTTAGTATAGCAATATCTTTGGATAAAATAATCAACAAACAAAATTATGTTGTTGGAAACCAGAAAACGACACCACTGATGAATGTACTTAGGCTACTTAATCAAGAAATAGTCGCAATGATTCTACTTCTGTCTTCTTTTTTAAAAAAAATTTAATTAGTTGTTTTATTTTAGAATAGCATTACTGATTACCTTTCTTCCCTGGAAATTAACACATTTCGTAGAGACTTAAGGATGCATCAATGAAATACTTAGAATTGAAAGAGGAAATGAATTACTTGATTTCTCAGGATGTGTGTGTCTATTGGTGCTCTAGCACAGTTAAATGCTAATATTGCCACTGAAAACTGATGCAACTTTTGTGAAGCAACAGCTGTAACAGGGCCTCTGTGTAACACTTCCTTGTGTAGAATTAAAAAAAAAAAAGCTTAGGTTTTAGAAAATATCAGAAAAGCACCTCTTTATAGGCTTACCACATAAGTACATTGTTTTCATCCCCCAGTAGACTGCGATTGGCTTTGACTGGGGAGTTCCTCATTTGTCTCCGGGGTTGGGGCCCACTTCTGTTTTTTGACCACTGACCAGCTATGCTGTCTTCATAGAAATCAGGCAGTGGGCAGTGACCTGGTTCTTACTAACTCTTGTGATGCCTCACGCGATGTTATATCTGTCACCAGCACGCTCTCCTCTCCTGAGAGAGTGTTAGAAAATTGCGTGGTCTGGGAGTGCAGGGGTTAATGAACAGTTCGGAGATTAATGCTTCCTCTCCTTGTGGTCCCAGATGTCTTCGGGAATGCTTGAATCCTCTCCCTTTGCATCTTTTCCCTTATTTGTAGGGTTACCTGTCACATCCCTTTCGAACTTGCAGGGACCATGTCTGGACAAATTAGCCAAAGACTATACCTATGTTTGAAGCAAAATTTAATATTCCTCCAAAATTATGGCTTTCCAATTCTCCATGGCTCATGAAGAGGGCCCCTTACTCTTAGACAACAAATATTTCTGAGCACTGGCCGTGTTCCAGGCAGTCTGCTGAGATCTGGATCTGATGATGCAGTGGTAAATACACACAGACCCCACCTCTGCTCTTTCAAAGCCTATACCTGGTGAATGGCAGAAACAATATTTCTCCACGCCTTACACTCAATGAGTAACAAAGAGGAATCACAGTTATTGGCATAGCTCAAAAATTTTTTTTGTCAGATCCAGTTTTGCCAATCACTATGACAGGGCCAAATCTATAAAACATTGGGAGCTTTATAGGAGATAAAATATCCTCTAAAATGTAGAGAATTTTTATAGCCCAAATTCCTATCCAGAGTCTCCAGCCCCTTTGGGACTAGACAGCCCCCTCAAGATTCTCAGGGAGCTCATCACATTCCCCATTGGGCAGTGTGACTAGATAAGGGCCAAGGGCATGAGTCAGTGTGGGAAGTGGCCCCAGCTCAGCTCAGCCACTGTGGCAGGCAAGAAGGATGCCACGAACACCGCCAATGGCCTCAGGGAGGTGGGTGGGTTGGAAGTGTGGTGGGGGTCATGTTTGGTTATGTAAATATGACTCCAGGCAGAGCCAGTGCTGAGTTTGATGATGGAGGAGGATTGGAGGTAAAGCTAGAGCTCTCAGAGCCTTCCCTGGGATAGAGATTCCTGCTGACACTGCTGGCCATGATAGTCTGTCTGGGGAGCCATGCTCACCTTCAGCTCCTGTGCAGAGAAGGGTGGCTGGGGAGGTGTTGCATAGCTGGGGGCATGCTAGGTGCATTGATGCCACTTGTTTCTCCACTTGGCTTCAGTCCAGAGCCCCACTCTGGGCTGGTGGCTGGGTAAGACCATAGGTAAACAGTAGACTTATAGTATGGTTTGGGGGCTATTTTGCTATGATTATGTGGGCACGGGCTTTAAAGACTAATGGCCCTGGTGTCTTCATGCTACTCTGTATGCTTTGAAACCTAATGGCCTTCTGGCACTGCCTTTCAGTTGTTGCATGACTTAGGGTAACACTAGTAGCAGTAACAAATAAATGCTCAAATTTCAGAGCCTTTCCACTGATGCTTATGTCTCATTCAAGTCAGTGGGTGGCTTCCCTCCAGGTGGTAACTCAGAGATCCAGGCTCCTTCCAGGATGTGACTCTGCCATCTCCTAAGGCCCTGGAGAATTCTGCGTGGAGGTGGAAGGTGACAGAGAGGGCATGTCTTACCACCTTAGCCCAGAGTGATACATATCACTTCTAGTCATGTGTTGCTGAGGTAAGGCAGTGGCCCCCAAACTTCTTGGGCACCAGACAATTTTTCCATGGACTGGGGTGGTGAGGGGGATGGTTTCAGGACGATTCAAGCACATTATATTTATTATATTTATTGTGCACTTTATTTCTATTATGATTACATTATAATACATAATGAAATAGTTACACAACTCACCATAATGTAGAGTTAGTGGGAGCCCTGAGCTTGTTTTTCTGCAACTAGATGGTCCCATCTGGGGGTGATGGGAGACAGTGAGAGATCATCAGGCATTAGATTCTCATAAGGAGCAACCTGGATCCCTCACATGCGCAGTTCACAATAGGGTTCACTCTCCTGTGAGAATGTAATGCTGCTGCTGATCTGACAGGAGGCAGAGCTTAGGTGGTAATGCGAGCCATGGGGAGTGGCTGTAAATACCAATGAAGCTTCACTTGCTCCCCTGCTGCTCACCTCCTGCTGTGTGGTCTAGTTCCTAACAAGCCAAGGACTGGTACCAGTCTGTGGCTCTGGGTTTGGGGACCCCTGAGATAGGGGACCAGAATGTGTAATCTCACAATTTCTACACTATGGAAAGAGCCACGTGAGTGTTGCTGAACAGTTAGCTTCTCTGCCTTGATAATGGGGTAAACTTCCAAAGTCTCAGTTTCCTCATCTGTAAAACAGAGAAATAGAAGCTCTCACCAGCACCTCTGAGAGTTATTGTGAGGATCAGAGCTAATGTAGGTGATGTGACTAATCTAGTGCCGCCGTGGTGGACAGTCAACTCATGGCTGTGATTACTGCCAGCAAGAGGGGCTGTCTTATTTACAGCAAGGGGGATCTAGTCTCATCCTCTCCTCCAGCTCCTTTAAGTGCTCCAGATCCATGCCTGTGCTTCTGCCTACATAGGTTTTATAATGACCATTAAGCAATACGCATTCCGTATGATGATTATTATGTAAATCTAAGTATATTTCATGATTACTATGTAATATATATTATCTATTGTGATTATTATGTAAATGCAAGTGAGCATCTCACTCCAACATATGTTTCATGGACTAAATATTCCTGGGGCATTGACATAAGCTTTTAAATATTGCTCCATTGTTTGCTATCATTCAAAAAGGCTTTTGTTATAAAAGCAATAGAGGTCACTGCAAAAATTACGAAGGCACAGACAGCTATATAAACTGGAGCTTAAAATCTGCCTGTCTACCCTTGGGTCCTCCTACCCAGTGAGCCCTACTTGGATAAGTAATTTTCATGAACAGTTTTGATAAATCTTTCCAGAAATACTCTATGTTTACATACAAGCATATGTAAATGCTTTTATTTTGCACAAAAGCAAATCATGCTAAAATGTTATTCTGCAACTCCTTTTTTTCTTTTTCCCTATTTCCATGTTTGGTCTAACTCATACTGTTTAATAGCCACACAGTATCCCATCGTGGGAATGAGCTACAGTTTATTAAACTAGAGGTGAGAGCTTTTGTGGTGAGTAGAAAGGCATCAGATTCTTCTTTCTTCCATGTGAGCAGATGGCTCACTCTCCAAAGTTACTTTCCCACCAGGTACCCCGAAAATCGCAGGCCCATATGGGTGCATCCAGAGTCCGTGTGCTTCTTGCCCCTCATTGTCCAGGCAGTGGACAAGCTTGATTCAAAAGCCCCTGCTTATTTTATCAGGGTTGAGGTCATGGGATGGAATAAAGGGTCAAAAGACTGCAGGAACCCCTTCTCTGTGCCTGTAGCCTCAAGCTCATCCAAAACAGCAAAAATATATTATACTTGTTGTCCTCCAGGGCACTAGGGCATGTGGTTCAACTTCAAAAATATAGGCCCTGAGCCTGTTGATTATAAAAGGAATCTCCTTCTGTTGCACAGTTTATTGTGGTTAACTCTTCTTCTTCCTTCTTCCTTCTTCTTTCCCCTCCCCCTGCCTCTTCCCTCCCCTCCCCTCCCCTCCTCTCCCCTCTCCTTCCCTCCCCTTTCCCTCCCCCTCCCCTCCCCTCCCCCTCCCATTCCCCTCCCCTCCCCCTCCCCCTCCTCTCCTACCCCGCCCCCCTCCTCCTCCTCCTCCTCCTCCTCCTCCTCCTCCTCCTCCTCCTCCTCCTCCTCCTCCTCCTTCTTCTTCTTCTTCTTCTTCTTCTTCTTCTTCTTCTTCTTCTTCTTCTTCTTCTTCCCAGTCAAATGTAGCAGTGGCTGAGTTGGGGGTTGAACACCAACTTTAGTGACACTAATCTTAATAAGTTCTGATAACCCACTACCATTGGACCACCCCATTTGGGTTAAGACTTCTTAATGTGGTAAGAAACCAGGTAGATCTTGCAACATTGCTGAGGTCCCAGACTGTCAGTAAGTCTACTGGGGCTGTGGAAATGATTTTGTGTACCACATCACTGGCCCAAGCCATGGGAACCCATCTGGCTTCATCCCTAAGAGTAGTATCTCCCAACTTTTAGCAATTCATGTGCTATCTTCTGATTTCATTTTGCATCTTTGCATGCCACTTTCATCACTTTTATTTAGTACTTATACTCTTGCACAATTCCACTTATAAACTTATAACATATTTTAGATATATCCTAATTCTAAGCAACTTGGAGTCACAGGTTGGCTACGCTAGCTACGATTTTCTTAATGCATAATACACATTACCATAAATACAGCTATTACTAAAAATTTATTCATCTATGTGCCTCTTAAAATCCTTGCCCATATCATACTTTGGGAATTGCCACCCTACTACCTTCAAGGAAGATGTATCCCTTTGAACCATTTAACAGGAGACCCTTTAGAAATCTTTAAAACACCCAGGATTTGTGCTATGAGAGAGCAATCTCTGATTTTTTTCTCCTTCACCAGCACAGGATGGTATTTTTGGCCACAATAATCTTCACGGAGTGTTTTTCTCTTTTTCTGGAAAGAAAATAAATGCCTTCATTCCCAATTACCACTGAGGATAAGTAGTAAAGAGTGAGGAAGGGCCCAGGGGCTCCTACACCAGCAGATGCAGGGATCTTTTTATTGCTGAGCCAGGCTCGCATTAGTCCTATTTTTAGACTTTCGGGTTGACTTGGTGAATTTGGCCTCCTTTTCAACAGATCATATTAATGAACTGCAGATGGGTCCATAATTGATTCCTTTCTATCACAATTATTTCACAGGCAGGCAAATGTACTCAATGTCTCCTTGGTGAGTAGTTACCTAGTTTCTAAAACCCCTGCTAGGTCTGGGAACAGGTTTTCTTTTTGGCTTGGACGTCAGAGGACAGATTATTCAAGATGGATTCACTGAAGTACTTGGACGCACACTCAGTGTCCTTGGCAGTTATAGTAGGAATTTGGAGATCTTGGTGGCTCTGCGTTCAGCATCGAGAGATGCTGATATTTATTATTTTTGTGGATGGAGGCAAGGGCTATATTACTGAGTGACATTTAGCAACATCTCCATCACGTATCAACATACTCACAAGTGCTGTTATTCTGGTGGTCTATCCAAATACACCCTCTCCTTTCTTGGCCACACCTTGAAGTATTGCCATGTGTCTGGGGGCCCTGAAGGAACTTTTATTTTACGTTCACTGGACTTTCCCTTAAGATGCTCTCGATTTCCCCTTTTGCCCTATGTGAAATCTCAGGCCAGCTCGTTTAGCGCTACCAAGCACTGCAGGGAGTGGTGGTGGTGGGTTAGTATTGTGTAAAATAATGGGAACATGCATTTACATACACAACAATGCAAGCCACTGTCCATCCAGACCTCAGAGAGCCACAGATGCTGTTGACAAAGAATTGTTGCCCTCCTTATACTGCAGAGGAAGTGGCTGGGTCAGGCTGGGCATTTACTCACTTGAGTAATACAGAGAACCAAATGGAGTGATAGGAAGAGAAGACAGCATTTTCCCGATGTTGAGGCTCCAAATGAACATCTGTCCATTTTCTGATGAGTTGGTGGACTCCGGACTCTGGCGAGTATGTTAAATCTGTTTGGGTAGATCTAAATCTTGCCAGGAATACAGCTGGGATTGATCCACATTCTCCAACTTGGTGCATTTTCCAGGAAGCCAGTTTTTCCTCTGGAGCAAAAGTCTCACTGCCACCCAGAATGCATGTGATCAACTCCTTTCCACATCAGCCTTTTTGTACAAGGAAACAATTTCTGTGTTTCTCTAGATAAAAATATAATTTGAAAGCCATAGCTTCTGTATAAATTATTGCAACTTCATTTTCAGGTGAGAAAAATTTTACTGTCACTAAACAGTACTGGGTTATTTGAGCTCCTATGCATGGTTGTAGATGACGGACAGTTACTTCTATTATGTCCATGTATGCTGTTCAACAACGATATTGAACTCAGGTAATTTCAACCTTTTGGAGTTAAGAACTCAGGTAGCCCAAATATGTTCTGGGATATCCTTCAGAAAGGGCCAAAACTCTGCGGTCTCACAATTCACTTTATCTCTTACAACAACTCCAAACTGACCGATTGCACAAAGCACGGTAGTAATGTGTCTTGCTGTATTGGAGATGAAAAGACAAATGGGCAGTGCAGTCTGGGGTTGTCCTGGTCTGTGGGACAGTTCAGCCTGGCTGCCCTCTTCAGGGGTGGCGGAGATGCAGGTGGAATTTCCAGCCATCTCCCTGCTTCTTGATCATGGCTTCCAAGCCCACTTATGTTGGTCTTCATCATTATAGAGTCTTTTTCCAAAGGAAATGCCAGGCTCTACCAAGAAGTGAATGGCTATTTTCATTCTCCCTGAATTAGATTATTGGTGTCCCCAGCAGTTAAGTGTCAAGTGACTTTTGGACTCATGGTCATCAGGATATTGTGTTTGCTTACCTTAAGTCAGTCCAGGCACTAGCATCTCTAAAGTAGTCCTACAATAAGACTTCAGGCAAGCCACTTGGCCACCCTGGGGACCCACTTTCATCATCTCTAAAGGATGATGCTTACTCGGCTAACGTTCTGTGGTTTGGTCTAGTTAAGGGTTTCTAATCTTTGAAGATAAAAGAGCTTATTATTTTTCTAGCACCTGATTTTGAGAGCTTACTGGCTTGAGAATTATCATTGACCTTAGTAGACCTAAGACAATACTAGTTAAGAGAAAATGGGTAGGAGATAGTGAGGATGGGCTTTAATTATTGATTTATAAATACTTAATGATAGGCTCAATTCCTACCATTTATCCTTAATTTATTTTACAGCTCACTATTGGCTTCCATTTATTTGAAGTGAACGACGATGTCCCTCTATTTGAAAAGACCTTTCTTCCACACCTATCCTTCCTTCAACCTGCTGTTGGAATCAGGTCCCTTAACTACAGAGAATTCAATGGTACCCCAATCCCATACACGTCAAACTTTGATTAAAGAATGTCTTACTCTGACCAAGGATCTCAGAGCCCCCAGATGAACCTCAAGACATGGTTGGCCATTTTTCTTTACCATTTGTGGGATAAAAAAGCTGAAAATAGCCAGGAGCGGTGGCTCCCACCTGTAATTCCAGCACTTTGGAAGGCTGAGGCAGGTGGATCGTGTGAGCTCAGACATTCGAGATCAGCCTGGGCAACATGGTGCAACCCTGTTTCTATAACAAGTACAAACATAAGCCAGGCATGGTGGCATGTGCCTTTAGTCCCAGCTACTTGGGAGGCTGAAGTGGGAGGATTGCTTGAGCCTGGGGGTTTGAGGCTGCTGTGAGCTGTTTTTAGGCCACTGCACTCCAGCCAGGGAGACAAAGCAAGACCTTGTCAAGAAAAAAAAAAAAAAAAGAGACCTGGTTTGGTGGCTCACACATGTAATCCCAGTGTTTTGAGAGGCTGAGGTGTGAGGATCCCTCGAGCCCAGGAGTTTGAGACTAGCCTAGGCAACATAGCAAGACCCCATCTGTGTTATTAAAAAAGAAGAAGAAGAAGAAAAAGCCTAAGGGTAAGTGAGCAAAGGGCCAAAGGCTTCTGGGTTTGTGGACTCTGCACTTGGAAGACTGAAATGGGCTTTGCAGATTAGGATCAGCATTCAAAATTGCTTCTAGAAGTTTCTGAGTAGGTAGAAATTAGGAAGAGAGGCTTGCAGAAGTCTGAGTCAACTAGACTGAGGTCAGAATCCCAGCTTGACCTCTTATTAGCTGTTTGACATTAGGTAAATTTCTTACATTTACTTGAGCCTCAGTTTCTTCATCTGAAGACTGGGACATGATCATGCCTGTCTCATTTGTTGTTGTCAGCCAAAATGAGATAAAGTATGAAAATGCGCTTTGCACAATGGCTGGAGTATTATCAGAATGCTAAAATATTCCCAGGTGCTGTGGTCTGAATGTCTGTGTCTCCTCTCCAAAATTCCCATGTTGAAAGCTAACCCTGATGTGATGGTTGGTATTAGGAAGTGAAGTCTTTGGGAGGTGATGAGGTCATGAGGGTGGAGCCCTCACGGAGGTGATTAGTGCCCTCATAAGTAAGGGGCTAGTGAGGACGAAGCAGGAAGCAGGCTGTCTGGAAGAGGCCACTCCAGAACCCGACCATACTGGCACCCTCATCTCAGACTTCTGGTCTCCAGAACTGTGGGAAAGATTTGTTATTTATAAGCTAGAAGCTTCCAGAGCTGTAAAAAACAAATGTCTGTTATTTATAAGATACAGTCTATGGTATTTTGTTATCTCAGCCCAAATGGACTAAGACAACCAGTAAATGTTAGTTCATTCCCCTCTTTGCATGCAAAGGGAAAACTGCTTGACCATGACTTCACATCAAGAGCTGTGTCCACTCTTAGTAGGTCCATATGGCAAGCTTTGTTTGGGTAGAGACCAGCAGAACTAAAACAGCACCCTGTCTCTGAAAATAGTTATTCAGATCTAAAGACGCTACCCCAGAGCCATGCTGCTTTATAGCCCCTGACCAGTCAACATCCTGATTACGGTGGTGTTAGGGGCCTGACCTTGATCTACTTTTCCTGTGGTCAGGAGAGGTAGACTGAACTGTCCCCAATGTGCCCATGGGAGCTGTCAAAACAAAGTTCAGAGAATAGGCTTGGTCCTTGAACACTCTCTCTGTGCACCTCCTGTATCTGTAGCAGTAATGATCAATCAACAAACAGATAAATACAATTACGATGTTTTCTATGTGCCAGGCACTATGTTACGTGCTCTCCATGTATTAATTCATTTCATCTTAACTCAACAGTAGGTGCTCAATAAGAATATGACAACTTACAAATTCCTACAGCAGCCCAAGTTCAGGGCTATTTCCACCCTCATCGCACAGATAAGGACACAGTCACATGTAATGCACTTTGTAGTTTACAAAGCATTGAAATAAAGCGCACATTTTCTGAGTATAAAAGCAGCACATAATAATAGTAGGAAACGTGGAAAATTAATAGAATTAAAGAAGAAAAACAGCAATCATCCTTAATCCCATCACTCACCGAAGCAGCTGCACCTGATTTTTAAATGGGCTCCCTGGATAGAGATGATGATGATATTGATATATTTTGTAGAAACAGAAACCAAAGCTTTGAGAGAGCAGTTGCACAGTGTGGAGCAGATCTGAGGCTCGAACCCAGCCTTTCCCCGTATTTCCCTACAACTCTGATGGTTGCAATTTTTGAAGTCTGTCTCGATTGGATTTGCAGGTTCCTCTTCCACTTTGGGGAAAGTTCTGAAGCACTCGGTCTGAGTGACTGGAGTGGAGCTGGTTTAACCTGTGATGGTAAATCACTCATTCTCAAGTTTCTGACCTGGGAGCCTTAGATCCCTGGGGTAGAAGGGTAGCCAGAGTTATTGCAAGAGGCCTGAGAATGCATGTGCCCTGCAAGCATTGCCTGTGTGGACTGAATAAGCAGCACTTCCCAGCCATGTGAGCTGTTATTTGTTGAATCTATGTAGATGGCTATAATTAATAAAATGCATGTTTATTCAAAAGCATGGCTAAATTCATTATAGACTTTTGTCATGTATTTTCTTAATCAAGAAATATTAAACATACAACCACTATCACATGACAGTCTGCCATATTTTGGGGGTTTCAAAAGGATTCACAAATATGAGAATACAGGTGCTGCTACTAAAGAGGAAAGCCAAGGAAAGCTGAGGCTGCATCCAGGGCTTGTGCAGAGCAAGGGGACAGTAGAAATGGGGATGGGCGTCTCTCTGGAGGGACTTGGAAGCAGCCACTCATTTAGTAAGCTCCACGGTGTGGTATCGTGTTAATGAAATACTCACTTAGTTTGTTAATTTTTAAAATGGTTTTTAAAAAATCTGAATCCACTTCATGTTGCATAGACCTAGTCTGAGTTTGGAAGGGTAGCCCAATAGAAATGAAGGTGCGGACTTATTTTATGGCCCTAGTCTTTCATGGAAAAAGAGTGATATTGCCTTGTGTGATTCTGGGAAGCAGCCTCCCACGTCCCTTCTTTGGGCGAGTGAAGAGTTCAATCTAGGTGCATACTGGGGCACCATGCCTGCTTCACACCACCTCTCACCTGTCACCTGGGACCCTTCCTCTCTGTCTTGTGGTTTATGGTCCCCTGCCCATTTTCTCTGCCAGATTTTGGGCTTTGTGGGTCCAGGACTATGCCTGCTTTTTTTTGGGGGGGGCGGGGCAGTGTTTTGCTCCGTTCCCCAGGCTGGAGTGCAGTGATGCGATCATAGCTCACTGCAGCCCTGACTTCCCAGGCTCAATTGATCCTCCCACCTCAGTCTCCTGAATAGCTGAAACCTGGCTAACTTTTTTTATTTTTTGAAAAAACTGGGTCTTGCTATGTTGCCCATGCTGGTCTTGAACTCCTGGCCTCAGGTGATCTGCCCACCTCGGTGGCCGTAAGTGCTGGGATTGTAGGCATGAGCCACCACACCTGGCCCTACATCTGCCTTGTTAACAGCCTTATCTCCAAGATCCAGCATAGAATGTATTGAAAAATATTTGTTGAACAAATAAGTCACTGACTGGATGAATACATGAATAGTTAGGTGTGTCTTTAATTTTACAAAGTAGAGATGAAAATGTTTGAAGGAGATTTAAAAAGTACAGATCACTATTCAATATGCCTTTTTATTTTTTCTCCTGCATGAATTTCTAGGTCAGAGTGTTGAATGGAAAACCCATTTTTCCCCTTGATTATAGAAACAATATATGCTTGTTCTAAAAACAAAACAAAATGAAAAAGATAAGGAAAAAGCTGGCTGTCCCTCCTAATCGCGTCTCCGTGCACCTCTGGAGCACGCCCTCCTGGTTCTCCTGAGTGTGTTATGTGTAAGTATCCATTGCCCTCGCCATGGAGCCATCCTTTGCCTTCCGCTGTGCCTGGGAGGCTGACCCCCTCGGGGAATTACCCAGGTTCCTTTGGCCCCTGGCTTCCTGTGAGTTCAGCTGATGAGAGGCACCTGCAGGAGTCAAGCCTGTGGGCAGAGAGAGAAATCCTGAGACAGCCGCTCCCTGTGTCCACGTTCGTCTCTGTGTCTGCACTTGTCTCTCTGTCCGTGCTCATCTCTGAGGCTGCTTGTCCTTCCTGGCTTCAGTTTCCACCACCGCCCCCCACCCTGCATGGTTCCAGTCCTAGCCAGGCCCCAGAAACTCTCTCCACCTGCTTTGTTCTTCATGGGTATGGGGTCCTGGGAGCCCCGCCTTGCTAGCCTGGGTGTCACCTTCCTGTCTGTTCACTTCACTCTGCACACAGCTCTTGAAGGGGTCCCTTCACTAAAGCTTCTTCCTATGGACCCTATTTGATACATTCTGCTTTTAGCCAGGACCCTGATTGCAACAAGATGCATCTATAGTCACATAATCAGAGTTGTCCTATATATTCTATTTTATAATCTGCTTTTTAAAGTTAACTATACACTATTATAGGACTCTTTTAAATCCAGCAAATATAACTACAGGTCCTCATTATTTTACTTGTTAAGATTTTCAACAGGATTTAATGAAATCCCACAAATATTGATTGAGCACCTATCATGTACAGGATGTAGTCCCGCCCTTAGGCGGGGTACAGAGCCACGTGGGCATTAAGACAGATGTGGAAATTATGTGGATGGAAAATACAAGGTGTCATCAGGGAGATACTAGCTAAGAACCATGGAGTTCAAAGGATAGAGAGAGAGAGAGAAAGAGAGATAATGGAGGCATCAAGCAAGGCTTCCTGCAGGAGGTATCGTCTGTGATACACCAGGAGGGTGTGGAAGACTTAAAACAAAGCGACCTGGAGCAGGAAGACATCCCAGGCAGAGATGGAAGAACCAGCACCTGGAGCTGAAAACCTATGGTTGTTTGATTAGTGAAGAGTTGACTTTCTTCCATTGTCCTTTATTCATCTCCTTGAATGCAGTTTTCTGGAATCAATACCGTTTTTCTGTTACCTCTCTAGATTATAATCTGTGGGAGGCCAGGGACAATTCCTTCACATCTTGCTGTAAACCTCCCAGCGAGTCTATGGTAGGGATTCCAAGGACAGGTTTGTTGAGTGAATTTGAATGGCCAACCTATGGCAGGCATGGAGATTTGTTGCCATCTTGGGGTAGGTGTTGAGGGCCAGGCTGAGTGGTTTGTGGGAAACTCTCTGAACCTGGTTCCTTCTGATGATGTCCCCTCTCTCTTTTCAAAGACTTCCTGCTCTTTCAGGCTGAGATGGAATCATAGACGTGAAAATGATTTGACGACAGGGAGGCTATCTCCAGAGAAAATGGGTCCCTTTTTCCTATCAATTCTTCTGAGTGTGGATCGGGAGTGGGAAGGCCACCCCTCTTCATGGAAATGATTTAGGAGGAAACTCAGATGCTCTGGTTTCATGGCTGGTGTTCACTGGGGAATCCAACAGCAAATGGTTCTGCAGGATCAGGCTGGTCTTTGAGACAGAGGGTAAAACAAGAACTGAGTTGAGCTCTTCTACCAAAATTAAAAGTTCAGGGAGCCCTTGTTTTCCTGCTGCCCCTCCCTCTCCTCTGGCCAACCCAAGGACAGCCAGCCAGAGACCACCAACTTTCACGTCGAACTCCTCCTTTCTCTCTTGCCCTCCACATCCTACCTATTTCATTGTGCTTGGTGGCTCAGGGTCCTGGCGGTTGGGCAAGGGATTATGGCAGAGTTTGGGATACCTGTACAGCACTCGCGTGTTTAGTAACTAGGTACAGCTGCTGATGGTGCAGCAGCACCAACAACACGGAAGCAGAAGAGGGTATGCCCAGGCATGCACGTATGCTCCGCCGCACACTGACCGGGTACATGCCTTTGCCATTGGGCAGCTTCCTGCTGTTAGGTTTAGTGTCCCCTCTGTAAACTGGAGATGGGAACATCTAGCGACCCTCACAGTGTTACTGTGCAAACAAGGGAGAGAAAAGGCAAGTGGAAGCGTGGAGGACAACACTCCACATGGAGACTCAGCAGATGTTATTATTTTTCTCCTTACACACAAGTACTCTATGTTTTAAAATTCCAAACTCCTGTGGGAATGAAATGTGTTTCTTTGTGAATGGGTATCTGTTACTGTCACATGCCGCGCAAATTCTCATGGAGGTAGGGATAGCAGACATTCAATTTGGGAAGAGGTGTTATTGTTGGGGAGAAATCAGGTTTATGTAGCATTTATTTATTACTCATTCATTTATTCATTTATTTGAGACAGGGTCTTCCTGCTCTGTTGCCCAGGCTGGAGAGCAGTGGCGCCATCCTAGCTCACTGCAGCCTTGACCTCCCGGCTCAACTGATCGTCCCACGTCAGTCTCTAGGGTAGCTGAGCTTATACGTGCATGCAACCATGCCAGGCTATCTGGCTTTCAAAGCAGGTCTATGGAGACTTGCTCTGATGCTATCCCCAGTTTCTAAAAGTAAAATTAAAATGAAGAAAGGAAAAAAAGAGAAAAGAAAATGAAAGTCTTGAGCATGTGGCTTCCATTTCTAAATCCAGTCATTCTCTTGTCTTGAGAGCTGCAAAATGTGCCATACGTGGTTGCATGATCCTCCCCAAGCCTGTGCCACGCTTTTCAGGGAGGAGGGCTGCTCTGAATGAAACCAACTGGCATGGATGGAACCCCAGGGTGTCCTATTATGACAGTCTTGTAAACATCTAGGAAAACCTGTTGGTGGCTGAAAAATTCAGATTCTAAATACTGTTTACTTCTGAATAATTTGTAATTCCTTTCCCAGCTCAAATAACTATAAACCTCTCCAAAGTGCTTTATAAACACTCATTAGAGTCTTACAAAAGTCTTTTGAGTGCCATATGATTATCTCCATTTGGCAAGTGAGTAAACTGAGTCACAAAAGTTGAAAGATCAGCTCAAAGTTATGCCAGGAGCAAAGGCAGGGCTGGGCTGGAACCCAGACTTCCCGGCTCCTTGGCTGGTGAACGGCTCCACAGAATATGCTGGAACTAGGCACGTCCAGGCTCCTGATCTTCTTGGGGCCCCATGGCGCCTCTTGCTTCTGCTAGCGACCCTTCATTCAGTTCACTGGGACTGGCCGAGGTCCCCTGGCTCCTGAGACCTCACCGCCCAAAAGCAAAGACTCCAACTCTGAATAGTCAACTGAGCCACATGCCTGACAACCACCTCTATCTTTTCCTCCTGAACAGGATTTAATTAAACCCCACAGCTGCATGTGGGGCTCTTCTCCAAAGCTTGCTTAGAAGGGCTCACAGAAGGATAAGCAGATAGAGCAGTCAAATTTGGGGTTTTCTGCTTTTCTGTTTGTTGATCAGCTGAAAATAACCAGGATTAGGTGAGTGAACTAAATATTTCCTGGTTTTTTGGCTGCCTTGCATTTGAACCCACTTCTTATGTTGGGACTCTGCCATCCACCAGGGAAACAGGATAGGCTGGCTACTAGCTCTCCTAGACCCCTGGCAGTGGGGTGTGGACACAGGATCCAAGCTTGGCCAGCTGGACCAAGTGAGCAGTGAGTGAGGAGAATCAGCCCAGGGACACTGGAGACTTGAGCAGAAGGTGGGCGGTGGAGGTCCCAGCATCCTGCACCTGTTAGCAGTGGTGCCATGGGGCTGGCAGGATGGCCAGGGTCTCAGGGAAGCACTTCATCATCAGATTGGACAGTGCAAGAGCTCAGCTGTGGTGAAAGCTGCCAACCCCTGGTATGCTTTGCTTCCTGTTCATGTCCAGAAACTTCTGGGTTGACTTGTGAGTTACTGGCTAGTCTTCCAACTAATTTTTTTCTTGGTGACATTCACAAGAGTCAGGAGTTTTGTTTATTTGTATCTTCATGGGTATGAGTTGGAAAATGAGAGAGATTTTCCTTTTCCATCCTCTCTCATCATATTATTGAGAGATGAGCACCCAGAGCTAGGGTGTGACCATTGATAAACAGAGATGGTGAAAATGCCGTAAGAAAGAAAGGCAGTAAAGTTTAGGATGTGAGGCTAGAGGAAGGTCTAGCTCATTGTTCTCCTGCAGCCCTGAACCCACATCAACAATATCGGTTGGCAAGCCACTATCACATCACATTGAGACCACCTGTACCACTGTCACCATTACCAGCAGCACTGCCCGGCACTGTAACCATGATGGTCTTGACTAAGTCAGCATCTCTGTGTACTCACCTCCTGTCTTCCTCTAAGCTCCTCTCAACAGATTCTCTTTGTCCAGGGTTCTTAGCCAGCTTGGATGTGAAGCTGAGGTGAGGCTGCTTACAGCCGTAAATAGGGAGCAAACACTATGCCCGCGCCCGAGCCCTGGATGTTGCTGTATCCACGCTATGTGGGCATGTGATGGTGCTGTCCATCTGGAAATCTTAGAAAACGGTGTTTTTACCTGTGCTCATGGCCGTGGGCAAAAGGCCTCTTACAGACTCTTAGAAGAAGATAACATAATAAAAGCTAATATTTGTTGAGTGCTTATTATGTAAAATCTCCTTTAATTTTTCCACCATCCTTATGAGGCAGGTGTTATTATTATCCCTAATTTACCCGGTCTTGGTGGTAAAGACAGCCCACCTTTGCTGCTACCTTGCTGCAGTGCCCGTGCAGGAGCCTACAGGCTCCTAGGTGGTTTCCAAAGCTGACTCTACATCAAAATTCCACAAAAAGTCGAGACAACTGCAGATTTCCAGGGTCCACGCCCAAAGATTTTAATTCAGTAAACCTTGAGAGGGTGAGGGTGAGGGCTCGGAGATGGAATTATTGCAAGCATCCCAAGGGATTATGAAGGAATCTGCCCGTGGACAAGCCCCCAGGAACACTGGCTGACACGAGCACATATGTGGCCATTCCTGTTCTGTGCGTTTGGCTGAGAAGGCGTGTAGGTCACAGTATTCTTTCCTGCTAAGCCTCGACTTGGCCTCAGAATCCGTCTCAGTGCAGGCAGTGACTAGCAATCATTTGCAGGTGGCTTCAAGACAAAACCAATTTGTCATCCTCAGCCTAGAGCCTCCAGAAAGGGTACTGAAGAAGCTGAGTTTTATCACAGTCCACCAATTCAACAAAGAAAATGACAGAGTATCTCTGCACCTCTGGCTTCTTTCTACTGTGCAATGGGGGGAGAAGATCATGAAACTTTTCACCTTCCTGGAGAGGGTAGATTCTTATCTCTAAATTACTCTGTTAGTGAAGGGAATGCTGGCTATTATAACATTTTATAACATGTTATAACTGTCATTGAAACTGTTCTGTGGTTAGTTTTTTTTTTTTTTAAGCAATCAAATGATCAGGTTCTACCCCATGAATTGGATTAGCTTGCACATGTTGGACCTATTAGTTAGGATGGCTCTCAACACCAAATCAGTCACATTTAATCAGCAGCAGGGAATGGGAAAGGGGTCCTGTTCCAACCAGCCCCTCATGTTCCAGGCAGATGAAGGCTCTGTCGTCCTTGATGTATGTTTTCTAGATCCCCCAGGTGTTGACCTCCAGGAGACAGATGGTAGTGAAAGACAGTGGAGAATTGCCCAGGAAGCTCTTTTTTTTTTTTTTTTAAATGGAGTTTCACTCTTGTTACCCAGGCTGGAGTGCAGTGGCGAGATGTCGGCTCACTGCAATCTCTGCCTCCCAGATTCAAGCGATTTTCCTGCCACAGCCTCCCAAGTAGCTGGGATTACATGCATGCGCCACCATACCTGGCTAATTTTGTATTTTTAGTAGAGACAGGGTGTCACCATGTTGACCAGGCTGGTCTTGAACTCCTGACCTCAGGTCATCCACCCACCTCAGCCTCCCGAAGTGCTGGGATTACAGGTGTGAGCCACCATGACCGGCCCAGGAAGTTTTACAGATCGCTGGTAGAGGGAAAATTGGCCGGAACCCAGTCACATGGCTATGCTCAACTGCAAATAGCCTGGGAAATAGAGCCCAGCTTGCCCAGGAGGAAAGGGAAGCGGGTTTGATGAGTAGCTAGCCAGAGTTCCCTTGGAGCTAGGGGGGTCTGTGGCCATGCCCTAGAAGGAGTGATTGAGTCCCGCAGAATCCACAGTGGGTAGTTCTTGTGTCAGTGACATGTAATCTTGTCACTCTTGAGTTGTTCCCATATTAGACAATTAAAATACATTCAATGGGACGGTTTTCAAATTTTGAATAGTAAGCACACATACACTCACACACACACACACACAAAATCTAAGAACAATAAATACTTTAAAATTCTTCGGTGGGCGGATCACGAGGTCAGGAGATCGAGACCATCCTGGCTAACACAGTGAAAGCCCGTCTCTACTAAAAATACAAAAAAATTAGCTGGGCTTGGTGGCGGGTGCCTGTAGTCCCAGCTACCCAAGAGGCTGAGGCAGGAGAATGGCATGAACCCGAGAGGCGGAGCTTGCAGTGAGCCGAGATCGCGCCACTGCACTCCAGCCTGGGTGACAGAGCAAGACTCCATCTCAAAAAAAAAAAAAAAAAAAAAATTCTTCTTCCTCATTTGAACACTCTATAGTAATATTTTTGGAGTTCTGGAATTCTCTCCATTATTTAACAATCTCTTATAACTTTTATGGAGCTCTTTACAGTTAAGATCTTAGAATGCCTGTCCAGCTCACCTCATGGTTTTGTTTTTTTTAGCTGTTTGTCTTCCAAACTGTTTTCTTCAACTCTAAGGGAAGCCTGTCAGAATCTGTCCTGGTCTTCTCCGTATTCTGAAATGAAGACTGGAGGGATAAATAGAAGTTTCTGGCTTCTTTGGAAAAATGTTAATCTGGTTCTTTAATTTTGGAAGCAGGTGTCCGTGGTAAGGAAAGTGTGTGCTCTGAGGCCACCTCTGGTATGTGTGTGTGTGTTTGGGGCTGGAGGGTGTGGGGTGTCACCTGGCCAGAGCATTGAACCTCTTATTGTCTCCATTTACACAATGAGGATAATAACAGCAACCTCACAGATGGTAGTGAGGTGTAGGGGAAGCAGTGCCTGATGTATGGTAGGCATCAAAACTGGTAAGTGTTGTTATTCCTATTGTTAATGCCAGAGTCAAGGGGCTCAGACATGGCTCGGGATGTGTGGGTAGAATTTATACGTAGGGATAAGAATCTGTACATATAAATGCAGAACAAAGGTGTGGTCGGGGGTGCTCTCCCGCTGGCCCGCTCCCTGAAGGGCTTCTATTGGGGGTGTCTCCGAGAGTCCTCCCTTGTAACAAACCCTGTATGCCCTCCAGCCCTCGCTGCACAGTGACTCAGTTTCCTCTGTGATAAAAGGGGATTCGACTACAGTTCTAAACTTGCCTGTAAAACACATTGAGAGCTTTGAAATAAAGGTGGTATTTAGTGTGAGTTCAAAGCGTTATGTAATTATTTTATTGCCCCTTTTATTCCTGAGTTTTTTTTCTGTTTGCTCTGCTTACAAACCCAAGCTACAGCCATAAAACCACTTTTATGCCAGCGCCTTTCACACACATTGTGTACCAACCGCACATCGCCATCAAGGTGCAAAGTGCTCAGGAGGATGAGCATGGAGAAGCAGAACAGGAGCGCCAGCAATTTCCGCCTAATTGAGGCCATTACTGTGCACTGTCACTGAAACTGGGTCATGGTTGATGGTTTTTTTTTTTTTAGCTATCCAAATGACCAGCTTCTGTCTCGTGAATTGGATTAGCTTGCTCATGGGGGACCTGTTAGTAAGGATGGCCCCCAACATCAAATCAATTCTGTTTCTCAAGCCATCATTCTTTCTTGCAGGTTCAGAGCCTATGTCCTGCCACCATTCTTTCCAGAGTCCCATTACCTGAAACCATAGGATTTTTTTTTTGTTTTTGTTTTTGTTTTTGAGATGGAGTCTGTCTCTGTAGCCCAGGCTGGAGTGCAGTGGCATGATCTAGGCTCACTGCAACCTCTGCCCCCCAAGTTCAAGCAATTCTCTTGCCTCAGCCTCCCGAGTAGCTGGGACTACAGGTGCAAGCCACCACACTCAGCTAATTTTTGTATTTTTAGTAGAGACAGGGTTTCACCATGTTGACCAGGCTGGTCTCGAACTCTTGACCTCGACCTCCCAAAGTGCTGGGATTACGGGTGTGAGCCACCGTGCCTGGCCTTGAAACCATATGATTAAAGAAGCTTTGAGTTGGAAAAGACCCTAGGGGTCTGCTGATGTCACCGCCCACCCAGGTGGAAGTCCCTTTTACAGCATCCCACGTGGACAGTGGCACAGCCTTTGCAGCAAACACAGGGTCCACCCTCACTATGTGGAGAGGCCTCCCATCCTATCATTGGGTGGATGTGGTTGCAAAATGCTTTTCCTTACGCCAACAGAAACGTGACTAAACTCAGGTGAGTCCCAGAGAGCAGGAAAGGCTTCGAAAGCTCTGTCAGTGTCGGGCCTCTTTAAACCCCTGAGCGGGAAAGGAAGAAATTCAGGATCCGAGGGGGCATTTCCATTCTGGTTCTTTCTGAACTTGGTTTTACAAACCCTGGTAAGTGGCAGCCCATTTAAACGAGGCACTGCTTGGGGTGAATTTAACAGGATTGAGTCTTCAAGGGCAGCATCTTTGTTGCTGTTCTGATCTGTGCCTTTCACTTTTAGTTAAAATAAAGAACTGCAAGCCAACATATTATGGAAGAACAAGGGAAGCCTCTCTGGCATCTGCCTAACCCACCAGGAGCTTAAAGGGAATGATCCAGTCCTCAAATTTATGGCCTAAATCATTTATTCAGTTGCATTCAACACATTCCTACTGTGTGAACAGTCCTTCAGGATAAGAGAATTCAGATCGTTACGCTTGAGAAACTTACAAACTCCTTAGGGAGGTGGGAAACTTTAGCTGGACAAGATCACTGTACACCTCGCCCCTATGGAAATCTCACCTTCAGACATTGGAGAAGTGCAGTGGCCATTTGGAGCATCTATTCTTCCTCCCTCCATTGGTCTTTGGGTCACGCACACCCCAGAGAACAGCTTCCTTCTGTCAGTCAGCGATCTCACCCCATGGACCTAGAGAGCAAGGAGAATGTGAGTGGGTGCGGGGCTGCAAGGCAAGCAACCTGACTCTGAAGACAGGTCCAGCCAGGGAAAGCTGGTTCTGCGGCCAGACAGTGACAACCAGACGCTGGGGTTGGCGGTTAGATGCTTTGCAGGAAGCCCATGAAAAAAGCTCTGCAAAATTGTATGGAATAAATGAACACGTGAGGGAGTAAATGAACCTGGAATCTACTCTATGTCTGCCCATGGTCCCAAAGTATTACCCAACTCCATCCTCATTCTTCTGTGCCATATGCTTTAGTCCAGATGGCTCAGGGAAGGAGATTTCTAAAACCAAACAATTCTAGACACCTCTTGCATCTGAGTGCATCCTCACACTCCTTTCCTAAGAGACTTTATAGAGCAGAGGATTCTAGAAGCAAGGTCTTGTGGGATTCTCCCTCTTTTAATCTCTCAACAAAGATAGGCAGAGGAATTTATTATTATCCACTTAAGTTGATTGGTGTCCAAGAAAATCCAGCAGTGAGTGCACTAATGTTTAGGTAGAGCCTTTTAATGTGAGCTCAAAGCACTTGGGAAAAATTTTATATTCATAGTGTTCAAGTGAAGCAAGTAGATGTCAAGAATTATTATCCCATTTAATAGGTGGAAAATCGGAGGCCCTCATTCATAGAGTGAGTCAAGAATACAGCTTGGGAGAGATGCCAAGTCTTTCTCTGCCTGCACAAGTAGGTGAGATACCACGCGAATGTCTCTGTAACATGGGTTTTGGCATATTTGCCTTCTCTGAAGTCAGCTTTCCCTGGTCAGGGTTCCTGCAGGAGCCAGATAGTGGGGGATGGGTGCAAAGCCATCTATACCTTTGCCGTGTCAGTCCCTGGGAGGGGAGGATGGTGGGCTTCTCTCCAGGGGGCCTCTGCAGCTGTGTTCCTGCACTGTCTAGAGTCTCTTGGCAATTCATATTTCTTGTACACTCTTCATTCTTGCCCTCTTCCTCTTGGGACACAGGGACATACCTCACCTTCCCCAGTGAGTCCCACATCCAGCTTCTTCTTTTCTGCTGCATCTCCTGGGAATTCTCAGGGTCTTCAGCCTCAGGGTGTCCATTCCTGAGCTGACCACTCGCCTTCCTCATTGCCTTCTTTGGTCATACACATGGCTATGCCTATGGCTATGCTCAGAGTCACACAGAACTGTCTCACTTCAAAAATATTGGGCCCAGAGGTCTCCCTGTCTGACTACAAACTCTTCCACCACTTGCCAAGAACTCTGTCTGACTTTATCCATCCTCTACTCCACTGTAGGCCCATGGCCCACCCATTTCAATACTGTTTCCTTGAGCCTATGAAACCCCTCCTGCATCTCCTAGTCTTCACTGAACATTATGTCAATTCCCAGCCTCAGCTCTAAATGCTCATGGTTTCCAAAAACATATTTACAA